>NC_000012.12:108369218-108520734 GCF_000001405.40 Homo sapiens | reverse complement strand
TCTCTGACTCTAAATAGCAGCAGTCATATTGGCACCTGTACCATATGATTCAAAGAGAAGATTCTACTTCCATTGGATGACAGCTTGGAAACCCGGCCATATTACATAGAGCACTACATCATTTCACAAGTTGCGAGAAAAATAAGGCCACTCCGAGGCAATCTCTTCTGCCTCCCAGGGGGATGGGACACGGGACAGTGCAAAGACCGTGGAAGATGGCAGTAAGTAGATGAAACTCCAGGACCAAAGGGATGCAGCCTGGCCATGGCTGAAGGTTTTTGCTCCATTCAGTAGAAACTGGTGCTCTAATTCATTATCAAAAATGCTTACTTGGTGTCCACATGGCACTTGTTTTCTCAGGTTAACATCTGCCTACAGAAAACTCAGGCAGAGGGGTGAGGGCAGATGCCTACTAGCATAACACCTGGTTTGCAGCACGATACAGGTGGAATGACAAGCCCAGAGAATTTCAGACGAAAACATCTGGCCTGAGTTGCTACAAATGAAGTGTGAGAGAAACGCGGATACACAAAGAAAACCAAACTGCCCGCCCACCATGTTTCCCCCTCCAACATACAGCTCTTTATGGCTACCCCCTATTCTTAATTAGAAAAATAGTCTCAATATGAAAAAAAAAAAAAAAAAAACAGCTGCTGGCACTAAAGTTTGCAAACTATGGCTCAAAAAGTCTTCCTGCAGGTAAGTAAGGAATGTCGGCATTCATTTTCTCTTCTATGAAGTTTGCTTGGAAGTTAGTCACCACTAATCTAAACCTTGAGAAAGTGAGCTTTCAACCATTTCTCTCAGCTGCGACTTGGGTCTGACTTCCCAGTTGCAGTCACAGAACCTCTCAGCCTGTTTCAGAGAAGCACTTGGAGGAGTTATGTCAGTGGCTCTGGGCCCCGTCCCACACCTCTTGGCCGCTCCTCCACCTTAGTGCAAATTCTGCTCCAGAACCTTTGTTCTGGTCACATGGTGGCACTGTTGCCCCTAAAGCACGGCCACCAGCAAGACACAGCAGACACCATACAATACTGACTAGCTTGCTCCAAAGAAGAAAATAAATAGCTTGGTTGAATTATAAGTTATTTTAGAGACAAGGCTTCATAACTTAGTTTTTTTTTTTTTTTAAAACTAAAACATTTGGAGGTAAAGAATGTTTCTCCTTTTGCTTTAGGAAGTGACTAGGTTTCTAGAAATGCTGTTTCTTTTTTTTTTTCCTACCTCAGGACAGCCTTTGTCACTGAGGATTTCTAGGGTTAGGGCTTCACAGGAAGCGTCTCCTTGAACCCAGAGTGGTTGGGTTGGGCTTCTGGCAGTGCCACCGAGTACTCAGTTGTGGCAAAAAGCAGGGTGTCCAGGGTGGTCTCAGTACACTTGGCGATGAAGCGAATGAAAGGCCTCACGTCGCCCTCGTTGGCAGCTTCCAACACGTGGTAGTAGTCGGACCGCTGCTCCTTGCGGATGGTGATGGGCGGGTAGCCCGCCTGCATGAGGATGAGGTTCATGAGCAGACGGGAGGTCCTCCCGTTGCCATCAATGAAAGGGTGGATGTAAACGAGTTTATAATGGGCTAAGGCTGCAAACTCCACTGGGTGCAGGTTCATGGCTTCCTCGGAGTTGAGCCACTGTACAAACTCCTGCATCTGCTTTTCCACATCCTGCGGATGGGGAGGGATGTGGTGTCCGACCAGGACCTGTGTTGTCCGAAACCTGCCGGCTTCCACGGGGTCCACGTAGCCCAGCACCCGCCTGTGGATCTCCAGCACGTCGCTGATGGTGACGGAGCCGATGCGCGAAACCAGAGTCGTGTTGATGTACTTCATGGCTGCATGCATGCCTATGACCTCGTTCTGCTCCTCCAGGCTCTTCCCGGGCACGGCGTAGCGGGTCTCCAGGATGTGCCTGATTTCCGAGAGGGTGAGGGTGTTGCCCTCGATGGCCACTGTGTGGTAGATGTGATGGTAGTAGGTCTCCTCCATGACCCTGCGCAGAGCTGAGTTCCCCTTGGGGATGGACATGACCTTCTTCACTTTGCTGTCGATGATGCTGAAATACCTCTGGTCGATCTCTTCCACAAGAGGCAGTGTCCGATCGCGGTTGACCAGTGCTTTCTCATGGTAGGGTGAGATGGTCAATGCTCTGGTGTACAAGTAGTCCGCCTGGATGATGTCCTTGTCTTCTTCCGAGAAGATGCCAAACTCGGTGAGCGCGTCCACGAAGTCCGGGTCCATCTTGAGGGCGTGCATGAAGAGCTTTTGGGCTTTTTCCCGCTTGCCCTGGCGCTTCATCTCCAGGGCCTGGTTCAGGGCAGCTCTGGCTTCCAACTTACCCGCTGGAAGAGAGCCAAAGAAGCGCTGTGAGGGAGGGAGGCTAGGGGGCAGAGGACATTCGGGGGGCTGTCCCCTGTGCTGGTCTCCGCAGGAAACCATGATGACCAGCCTGTGTCCCTGGCCTTGAGGAGCTTGTTGCAGCCGCATCGTGTGTACTCAACATGCCCGGTACCACTCTGTTGCCCCAGCCGTGTGGTGGTATGCAGTCACTATCCGTGTGTCCCCAGAGCCACTCTCTTGTATTCTGGGAGGCACCTCCTTGGCTTCCTAGCCTCCTGCTTTCTGGACATAGAAAGTTCTAGGCATTTACTTCGCCTGGGCCCTCTCTGCTGGGCCTTTCCTGTGGGCCACAGCTCCCAGTGTAGGCCGTCTCCTACATCTCCAGCTCATCTTGTGCTGGTGACACAGGTTCCTGCCCCGGGAGGCCCAAAGGCGTTAACAACTCCCCACTCTTCCTAGACCCTGGGGGCGTCAACCATCCCGGGACTGTTCTTTAACTCTTTTAACCCAGTGGTTTGATTGTGCGCCCCAGGGGACATTTGGTGACGTCTGGAGACCTGGTTAGTTGTCATAACTGAGGAGGTGGAGGGAGTGCTACAGGCATCTCATGGGGAGAGGCCAGGGATGCCACCACCATCTAACAATGCACTTTCAGTCCCCACCACAGAGAACTGGTGGAGGTGGGGAGCCTGCTCTAGCCCTAGCCCTCCTGTCCTGGCCCCTCTTGGCCACCTGAGGATCAGCCCCACACATTCAACTTCCTTTAGTTCCTCGAATGCCCCCAGGCTCTCTTACGACAGTTATGTCAGTTATGACAACTAACCTCTGGTCTCTGCCTGGAGTCCTTTTCCTTGGATGCCCTTCACCCTGGATGACTCCTACTTAACAACTGGGTCCCAGCTCAGGTGTCACTTCCTCCAGGGAGCCTTCCTGGTATGCTCCTACAGCCCTTTATGCTTCCCCATCACCACACTTGTGACACTGTCTCAGTCACATCACCTTGTCTATACTAGGAGCTCAGGGCTGACTTGTTCACAATACCCCGATGCCCCACATACAGGACATGACACATTCTATGTCTGTCTATCCAGTTAACAAGCATTGAGGAAGACGGCCAGTCTGTCTTACCTGGAGAGGCCTTGGTCTTGGCCACCAGCAGCGTCGCGCCCCTGGAGGTGATGCTGAGCTCCGTGGACGGGCTGGTGCACTTGGTGGCGGCATGCTGCGCCCTGTCCGGTTTGCTCCTGAGCAGGTAGAGGCCTTTGAGCACAGCCAAGCACTGCTCCTCCACAGCCCCCAGCGGCAGCAGCAGGGCCAGCAGGGACCCCAGCACCATGCTCAGCAGCGTCACCCAGAGGAAGCGGCTCCAGACCGAGACCCATTTCGGTTCAGTCACCGCCATCACTGAAGCCATTGGTATGAGCATCATCTGGACTCAGGAGAGGGCCCTTTGCGCATGTCCACAGGCGGCTGAGAGAGAGCAGGATCTGCAAGGAGCCAAGAGTCGCAGGAGAAACAGACACGTTCAGGACATAGTGTGACTTCAGCTGGGAAGATGGGTTTGGAGACTTCTGCTCTTTTAGCTCACTAGAGAGATGGGGTGGGGGCAAGTCAAGGACTGGATCTCACTAGAGGAGGGGCCAGCCTAGAAGGACTGGTGCCACCTCCTGGGCAGTATGAATGTGAAAACACTGCTGTGGTCCAACAATTAATGAGCACTTGCCATAATCCAGGCCGTGTGCTAAGCACCAAATGCCTCACATGGGTCACCTCCTGCAATCTTCAACGACTTGAGCTGATGTTTTCACCCTTCTCCAGGTGAGGGAACTGAGGTTCAGAGAGGTGAAGTCCCTTGCCGAAAGTCTCGCCGGGAGCAAGTGACAGCCTTAGGACTTGAACTCAGGAACCCCACGGCTCTAAAGTGTCCCCCCTTCCCATATATCCCTGTGGCTTCTGACCACAAACACTGGATTTGTGGACATATGTCAAACATTTGGGACATAAATGACTGACAGACACCCAGGCAGATCAGCCACAGCAGTTCTGACGCCCAATCTTTGATAAGCACAATTGTTGGGTGGCCTCATTTATTGCCCTCACCCTGATATTCAGCCACAGCTCCCACAGTGCCCTTCCCCTCTCTGGCCTTCCATTTCTGGCCTGTCCAGAAGGGACCCCATCAAGAAGATGAGCAGTTCGAGCATCTCGAAAGGAACTCAGGCTGTGGGCCACAGTGCTTGGCCTCAGTGACAACATGGCTTGTATGTGCTTGGGGCTGGCAGTGGGAGTGGAGGTGGGGCCAGGCATGCAAACACTATGCTAACAATAAGCACTTATTAAGCAACTATGGTGTCCTAGGTGCTGAGCAGTGTACTGGCCACGCATTGCCTCGTTTCACCCTCATGCCACCCTATGAAGGAAGAGCTACCGCTAGCTCCATTTTACAGACAAGGGAAACCAAGACACAGAGAGCATAAGTTAAATTCCAGAAGGCCCACAGGAGGTAAACAGAGGCATCCGGAAGGAAACCCCAGGGCCTCTGAACCCGGTCCCCAGGTCTCGATTTCTACCTTATTACTAAGCAGGGCCTGTGCACCTGCTCTGGGCTGGTCCTGACCCGGGAATGACTGATGGATCACGGGGTTCTGAGTCTCATGGGGATCCTGGCCCATTGCCACAGAACATGTGAAATGGCTTGGGGTGCGCTTTAATAGGGGTGCGCCTGGAGTGCTGCGCGGGTCCAGGGGTCTGGGCGGGCTTCCCGAGGGGACAGGCTCCTGGGCGGGGCGGTACAGGAAAGGGGGCAGTTCGCCGGTGCCAGGGGTGTGTGCAGGGAAGGAGTGCGTTCTGGGAGGCGCGAATCTCTCCCCCACACTTCCCTAGAAAGGGAGAACTGAGGCCCGGAGAGGGGAGGGGACCGGTCTGAGTCCCCTCCAAGACTGCAGAGCCTCCCTTCCCGAACCCCGCCCAGGGCTCGCGGCCCCGTCGCACCCTTCCCGGCTTCATCCTCTCGAGCCCCTAGGGCTTTTCCCCTTCTCACCGCGCGCAGCTGTCAGAACCCCAACCGCCTTCCCCGCGCTCCCAGCTCCGGGCCGCCGGCTCCCGGGTCCTCCTTCTCCGCCGGCCTCTGGCCCCGCCCCCGGCGACTTGCCATTGAACCGCCCGCAGCCCTCGTCGCGGCGGATTGGCTTTCCCCACTTGTCCTTCCCTCGCATTTCCGGGTTCCCGCGTCCGCGTCGGCTTCCCCGGGAAAGACGCGCCGTGGGCCACTCCCATTGGTTGTTGCTTGCGTTTGTCTCGTTCACGTAGCAGCCAATAAGCAGCGGGAGGGGCGGGGCCTAGGCCACAGGCAGGAGGAGCAGGTGCTGGAAACCCGATGGGCGTGCGGATTTGGGGCACACTAGGTGGCGGGCCCGGAAACTGGAAGTTCCACGGCGGTCTTTTCCTCGGGTCTCTTCGTCCCGGAGCCGCTGTCGTGTGCCTCATTTTTCCCGGTTGTGAAATGAAGATGCTGATGCTTTTCACCCCTTCACCCGGTTAGCCTGCTTGACTGCGCAGCCCCTGTTCTTAGCCTCCACCCCATGCTGCTGAGTTTGCCGCCTTCTTCTTCTTTACTCTTTTCCTCTCTGTGTCTTTTCCTCCCTGACTTAAACAACTTTTTTTTTTCTTATAAAATACAGGGTCTCGTTGTGTCGCCCAGGCTGGAGTGCGGTGGAGCAATTGCAGCTCACTGCAGCCTCCACCTCCTGGGCTCAAGCAATCCTCCCATCTCAGCCTCCCGAGTAGCTGGGACTACAGGTGCATGCCACCATGCCCGGCGAATTTTCTTTTCTTTTCTTTTCTTTCTTTCTTTCTTTTTTTTTCTCTCTCTCTGTCTTGCTTTCTTTCTTTTTTTTTGAGACGGAATCGCACTCTGTTGCCCAGGCTGGAGGGAAGTGGCACGATCTTGGCCCACTGCAACCTCCGCCTCCCAGGTTGAAGCGATTCTCCTGCCTCAGCCTCCCGAGTAGCTGGGATTACAGGCGCGCATCACCACGCCCGCCTAATTTGTGTATTTTTAGTAGAGATGGGGTTTCACCACGTTGGCCAGGCTGGTCTCGAACTCCTGACCTCAGAAGATTCGCCTGCCTCGGCCTCCCAAAGTGCTGGGATTACAGGCGTGAGCCATCGCGCCCGACCTATTTCTGATTTTTTATTTTCTTTAGAGACCGGGTCTCACTATGTCGCCCGGGCTGGTCTCGAACTCTTGACCTTAAGCTCTCCCTCCATCTCGGCTTCCCAAAGCGCTAAGATTACAGGCGCAAGCCACCCCCTCGGTTCTCCCTGACTTTTTAATTTGTATCCTCTCCAGAAGGACCTGGCTAGTTCTTTTGGCTTCCCAGAGAGAAATTTTTTCCTTGAAGCAGAGAATGGAAACCTCCATCTTAATCCACAAATACTGAAATTAAACATCTAGGGAGGTGCCCCAGAAACGCTAAGCATTTAGAAGTTAGCAGTTCAGATTCTGGGGAGTCAAAGAGACCTGAGCTCAAATTCAGACTTTGCCATTTACTCTCCGTGTCACCTTGGGCACGTTACTCCTAGCCTCACTTTCCCCACTTGTAAAATGGGGACAAACAGCCTACCTTGCTTTTGGCATCCAGTTCAGGATTTGCAGAAGGCTTGATGCTTCAAGATCTGACCTCCTCTGTGACGTGTATTGCTCTTGGAGGCAGGGCTAGGTGGTGGTTGTGGGGTGTCACTGTTGGGAGTCACACAGACCTGGGTTCAAATCCCAGTTCTGCCCCTTGCAAACTGAATCACATTCAGCAAGTGACTTGATCTTGTTGATCATCTGTCTAGGCTTTTCTGTAAACTGTGCACAGTGTGATGATATTACCACTTCACAAGGTTTTATGTGAGGGTGAAATGAGATTCTATACATCTGGCACAGAGCAAACTATCTATCTATCTATCTATCTATCTATCTATCTATCTATCTATCACCTATCTATCTTTTTTGAAATAGGATCTCACTCTGTTGCCCAGGCTGGAGTGCAGTGGCATGATCTTGGCTCACTGCAACCTCCATGTCCTGGGTTTAAGTGATCCTCCCATCTCAGCTTCCCTAGTAGCTGGGACTACAGGCACACACAGGCTAATTGTTTTTTTGTTTGTTTGTTTGTTTTTGAGACAGAGTCTTGCTCTGTCACCCAGGCTGGAGTGCAGTGGTGTGATCTTGGCTCACTGCAATCTCTACCTTCTGGGTTCAAGCGATTCTCCTGCGTCAGCCTCCTGAGTAGCTGGGATTACAGGCATGTGCCACTGCACCCGGCTAATTTTTTTGTATTTTTAATAGACACGGGGTTTCATTCTGTTGGCCAGGCTGGTCTTCAACTCCTGACCTCAAGTGGTCCACCTGCCTTGGCCTCCCAAAGTGCTGGGATTACAGGCTTGAGCCACCGCGCCTGGCCAGAAGATCCATAGTTTTTAAGGAACAAAATCAGGGTGGTGATTATTTTGGTGGCTTCTCGTTTTTAATCTTTTCAACCAAGGTCATAAACATTTTTCTCTTGGAGTCCTCTGAATTGCACTTCCTGATGGCCCAAGTAGTAATGTCATTGTAAAAACCTTCCCCAGAGGAGGGCCTGGTAGGCAGCCAGCTTATGGGTGACAGTATGTTAGAAAACAGTGAAGCTCTGGGGTCAGACAGATGTGCGTTGAAATGCAAGGCCCACCGCTTGCTGGCTGGGTGACCTTGAACAAGTCACTTATCCTCACTGAGCTGGGTATTAAGGGACTAGTGGACCCCTGTCCACACCCAGGTATAAAGCAATGTAGTCCTCTGCTTCTAAAGGCACCCTCCTCTCTTTGTTAAGTCTTTAATTAGCTTAGGCTACGAGTAGTAAATCCAGAGGCTATGCAGGAACTGCTAATGAGCAAAGCTTCCTGGCCATGAGACAATAGGTAGAGGTGGGGAGTATGGCAGATTTGAGAGCACATGCCTTGTCTAAAGTGGGCAGCAGCTTCTCAGCTCGAACCCGTATTTATTAGCTGGGATGCAGTCTAAAAGTGGATAGAGTTTTCAATTTTTCAAAATAAATGTGAGGCCTAGATTTTTTAAGCAGTATCTCCAGATTTTAAGGCAGTTGGCATGGCTGCCGGCTGGCTTTCCAGGGCCGCCAGATTGTAACCCCTTTGTAGCCGGTAGTGGAAGATGGCAGGGGAACGCAGGAAGAAAAGACTCAAAGGACTATTACAGCAAAATGAGCCCATTACTGTGTCTGGCCACCAGGGGGCAGTAATTCACCTGACATCACTTCCCTCCTTCAATCTCCTTGTCAGGAGTTTACACTCAAAAAATTTTAACTCTCGACTTTGTCTGCATTCAGCTGTGTTGAATGCACAAAATATGGTCCCTGAAGCGATATTGAAAAGTTGGCTTTCTCCATCTTAAGCATTCTGTACTAGGTGAAAATTGCCTCCCCGTGGCCCACGGAGGAGTTTTCTAAACGCTTACCTTGACACATGACAAAGAACCCAGAAAGTGGCTGCATGGGAAATATGTCCATTATGCAAAACAAAACAAGACAAAAAACCCTTCTGCATGTTTAAGGAACAGCAGTCAAGCGCTTCTTGCTGGCAGAGTCGGATTCTATTGCTTAGGAAAAACAAAACTCCCCGGCTTGAGGCTACATGGCATTGAGTTGGCTGCAGAATGACTCAACTTCATTAAAAAGAAAATACACCACACCTGTTCTTGCTTCTTCATTTCTCTCATCTTTCCCCACCCCTGATTTTTTTTTCTCTGTCTAACTTAATGCTGTGGCTGAAAAAGAGAGCCCAGCAGCCCTTCTCCCTGCTACTGATTAATCCTCCTTTTAAAACATACCTGGTGGGGGCCAGGCGCGGTGGCTCACACCTGTAATCCCAGCACTTTGGGAGGCCGAGGCGGGCAGATCACGACGTCAGGCGATCGAGATCATCCAGGCTAACACAGTGAAACCCCGTCTCTACTAAAAATACAAAAAATTAGCCTGGCGTGGTGATGGGCGCCTGTAGTCCGAGCTACTCGGGAGGCTGAGGCAGGAGAATGGCGTGAACCCGGGAGGCGGAGCTTGCAGTGAGCTGAGATCGCACCACTGCACTCCAGCCTGGGCAACAGAGCGAGACTCCGTCTCAAAAAAAAAAAAAAAAAAGAAAAGACATACCTGGTGGGGTCAGACCCAGTTTCTGAGGCATCCCCAAGAAACAGGGCTTGGGGGACCCCATGTGAGTGTCCCTGGGCTAAAGGCTTGTGTTCTGGCCTCAGGATGTTTCTCATGTCGTATGGTCTCAAATCACCAATATTTCAAAACTCAGACATGCAGATGAGTGTTGTTTTCAAAGCAAATCATTTGGGGAAGTGGTACTTCTTACTTGGAAAAAATTAAACGTAACTGCTTTTCACCTGTTGAACAACTATTTTATTTCTTAAAAACAACATGAGATCATTACAGATATAGAATCCACAAAAAACAAGAAAAAAATACACATTCACAATTCTACTCCATATTTCTCTATGCACATTTATTTATTTTTGAGACAGGGTCTCACTCTGTCACCCAGGCTGGAGGGCAGTGGCACGATCTCGGCTCGCTGCAGCCTCAACCTCCTGGGCTTAAATGATCCTCCTGCCTCAGCCTCCCAAGTAGCTGGGACTATAGGTGTGTGCCACCACGACTGGCTAATTAAAAAAATTTTTTTTTTGTAGACACAGGGTCTCACTCTGTCACCCAGGCTGGAGTGCAGTGGCATGATCTCAGCTCACTACAGCCTCAACCTCCTGGGCTTAAGTGATCCTCCTGCCTCAGCCTCCCAAGTAGCTGGGACTACAGGTGCATGCCACCATGACTGGCTAATTTAAACAATTTTTTTTTTTTGTAGAGATGGGGTTTCACTATGTTGCCCAGTCTGGTCTTCAACCCCTGGGCTCAAGAAATCCTCCCACCTCAGCCTCCCAAAGTGCTGGGATTATAAGCATGAGCCGCCACAACTGGCCACATCTATTTTTAAATGATGAAATATTTCTGATATCCAAAAGACATCAACAGTGCAATGGGCGCTTGTATACCTGCCATCCAGTTTAAGAAATACCATGTCACCAATACACTGAAGCCCCATGGGCCTTCTCCCCTTCACATGCCCTTCCCTCCCTCCCAGAGGTCACTACCATGTTGAATTTGGTGCTGCTGCCTCCATGCATGGCTTTTTGCTTTTATCCACATGCATGTATCCATAAATAATATATAATGATGTTATGCAGATTTTTATGCATGATATATACCGTGTGGATCCTTCTGCATTTTGGGGCTCAGAATTATGTCTTAGAGATTTATGCTCATGCTGATATGCATAGTTCTGGTTCATTAATTTTACAGTGCTGTATAGTATTCCATTAACAATTTATTTCCCATTTACCTGTTGATGGGCATTTGGATTGTTTCCAATTTTTCCCTATCACAGACTGCAGTGAAATACTTGTATGATTTTTTGGCACATGTGTGGAAGTTTCTCTAGGACAAAGTTTCTCAAAGAATCATTTGGGGGGGTTTTGGAAAAACAACCACATGGGGCCTTGCTCCAGACCAACGAAATCCTCTAACTGCTCCTCTGATCCTACTGTATCTTAGCTACAAGTGGAAATAATCGTACCCACCATGCTATCTCATTTTTGGTAGTGGTGACAACTGAGCACTTACTGTGTGCTAAGTAATTTGTATGGTATTTGATTGAATTTTTGTAACAACGCCATGAACTAGATATTATTAAACCCACTTTATAGAAGGTGAAAATGAGGCTCAGATAAATTAAGTAATTAGTCTGAGGTCACACAGCAAGCAAGTGGCAGAGCCAGGGTTCACAACCAGTCTTCCTGACTCAAAACTGTGGTTTTGACGATTATGAGACCCTAGGCTTTCAGAGATCTCAGGTTACATTTTAGCTCCTCAGCTTTGGAGGTGGAAAAACTAAGGACAGAGCCAGAATACAAATCCAAGTCTCTAGATTCCCTACCCGTTAACATGTCCCCTTCTACTGTAAAAATGCTTTAAGGGTAGGGGAAGGAGCGAGGAGGAAAAATCTTCATAAAGTCATCTTCTCGAGACAATTTCTGACATCCACCCTATGTCTGTTATCCATTGCTGTGTAACAAATAACCCCAATGCTTAGTAGCTTAAAACAACAGCAAACATTTTTTACTTTACATTATATTGTGTGGGTCAGTAATCTGGGAGCAGTTTAGCTGGATGGTTCTAGCTGGCAGACGTTCTTGAGATTGAAGTCAAGATAGTGTTTGGGGCTGCAATCATCTGAAAGCTTGACTGGTGCTGAAGGCTCCATTTCCAAGGTGGCTCACATGGCTGGTGGCTGGGGGCTTCAGTTCCTCTCATGTGGGCTGCCCCGTAGGACTGCTTGAGTGTCCTCTCAACATGGCAGCTGGCTTCTCCAGCATGAATGACCCAAGAGTGTGGTGTCTTTTATGATCTAGCTTCAGAAGGCACAATTTAACCTTCGCTGTACTCTATTGGCCACAACACAGATCAATCTTGGTTCAAGGTATGAGGGGGCTACATAAGGCTCACCAGGAGATGAGGATCAGTGGGGCCCATCTTTGAGGCTGCCTGTCTTATGCACTGCCTCTTCCCTTCTCTGTCCCAGTGATTGATTCTGCCTGACAGGATGGACTTCAGGCCTCCTGGGCCTTATGTGGTGGACTCTTTGGGTACCTCAAGGCAGGGAGCTTCTGCATTTGTGAGACTCCTCTGTGAGAACAGTGGACTCCCAGTGGCTGACTGCTTTTCTCCCAGCTGTTTACTGACTGCTTTCTAGCTGTACTACTCTAATTGGCCCAAGAAGCTGCCTACTCCTGCCTAAAAATATGGTCATGTTGACATGGAGACTGACTCAGGTGCTCAATACGCTGTTTTAGATCACAGCCTCTGAAAGATGTGACTAACACTTCTCTTCCTGCATGGGGACGGTGACTCAGTTTGGGCCAGGATGGAGTGAAGACCCAGTGGAGCCTACATCCTCCCCTTCTCTGATTTCTCTGTTTCACCTGATTCAAGGTAGCCAGGGTCTGGGGGCTGCTGGGCAGAGGGGCTGTGGACTCCCTGAGTCCAAATTGCAGTCCATTTTGATGCCCCCCAAAAAGCTCTCAGTGGAAGCTCTCTGTTGCCATAGTAACGTGGAGATGTGGAAATTAACATGGATGTCTGGCTAGCTAGGAAAGCCAAGCTCTTAATACTCATTCCCTCTTTTAAATAGATAAGAATTCCCAGGAGGGCTTTGGACAGACATCAAAGGGCCTATTTCAGGTGTTGAGAAAATACTCTTTTAAAAATTACTGTGAAATGAATTCAGCCCTAATCAGAGAGATGGCAGTGATTTGGCATTCTCAGAGGAATTGGAGAAGTAAGTTTAGAGCCAAGGCAACTGTTTTTTTTTTTCCTAAATGACAGCTTTATTGAGATATAATTCACATACCACACAATTCTCCCATTTGAAGTGTACCATTCTGTGGTTTTTAATATATTCACAGGGTTGTGCAACCATCACCCCAATTTTAGAACATTTTCATTACCCCCAAAGAAAGCAAAGACCCTTTAGTAGCAATTTCCTGTTTCTCCCCAAGCTCCTTCCCTCAGCCCCTGGCAATCTACTCTCTGTCTGTATAGATTTTTCTCTTCTGGATGTTTCCTGTAAATGGAATCCTATAATATGGTGGCTTTTGGGGTCTGGCTTCTTTCAGCATTTTTATTTCTTGCCCTCTTATGGTTCTTCACAGTTTTTCCAACAGCAGTGTTTCCATGCACTTTGAGAACAATTCATTGGCTGGGGGTGCAGCTGCAAAATTAACCCCCAGCCTGGGGATGGATGAAAGGGAGCAGAGTCCTCCAAGGCCACCCACCTGGCCTTCCTTGTTCCTTCTTGAGCCTTCCTGGCTGCTTTGGGACTGTGGTGGGTAAAGTGGCCCTTTGGGAGCATGGCTGGCTGGGCTTCACACTGGCATACAGTGGACATGCTTCCTGTGACTTCCTTTCTTGGGAGAGTTATAATCACAAGCAGCAGAAGATCACCAGGTGCCAGGCACCATGCTACGAGCATCCCTTGAGTTAGGATAATTTCACTGTTACAGACCTTTTTTCCCCTCTCTTTTTATGGGGATTCACTAAACAGCCACCTCTTTTACTTCATGCAGATGTTTTGCTGAGGCTATCACTTGCGTCATTTTTCTATTTTTCAGCCATAAATGATGCACATAGAAATAATCTCACTCTTCGCCCTCTGCTAGCCTAGATATTTTACTTGTTTGTTTATTTATTTATTTATTTATTTATTTATTTATTTTGAGATGGGGTCTCACTCTGTCTCCTAGGCTGGAGTGCAGTGCTGCAATCTCGGCTCCCTGCAACCTCCGCCTCCTGGGCTCACACGATTCTCCTGCCTCTGCATCCCGAGTAGCTGGGACTACAGGCATGTGCCACCATGCCCAGCTAACTTTTTGTATTTTTGTTAGAGACAGGGTTTCACCATGTTGTCCAGGCTGGACTCAAACTCCTGGCCTGAAGCGATCCTCCTGCCTCAGCCTCCCAAAGCTTTGGGATTACAGGCATGAGCCACTGCCCCTGGCCTATTTTTTAAAATATAAAGTGGCTCTGCAGCCCCTTTGTTCTTAATAAGCTCCACAGGGGCAGGGATTTGTCTTTTGTTTACAGCTTGCCTAAGGCTGGCAGGCCACAGGAGTATTATCAACATTGATTGAACAAATACATGATTTTGTTGAATCCTTTGATGCCCCACAAAGTAGGTAGAGTTATGAGACCCATTTTACAGATGAGGAAACCGAAGCCCAGAGATGTGAAATGACTTGTCACAGGCCATCAGCCTATAAGTGGTGGAGCTGGGATTTGGTCTGATTAAGGGGGATCTGGAGCTCTTAAGCACTCTATTATGTGCAAATATGTGTTATGGGTTGAACTGTGCCTCTCAAAATATGTTGAAGTCCTAACCCCAAGATCCGTGAGTGAGACTTTATTGGGAAACAGAGTCTTTGCAGATAATCAAGTTTTTGTTTTTAAAAACTGATGCATAATAGATGTGCATAGTTTCAGGGTACATGTAATAATTTAATACATTCATGTAATTTGTTAGGATCAAATCAGTGTACTTGGGATACCCATCACCTTAAATATTGTCTTTTCTTTATGCTAGAAAAATTCAAATTCTTCTCTTCTAGCTATTTTGAAATATACAATAGATTATGGTAACCTATAGTCAACCCACTGATCTATGGAACACTGGGTCTCATTTCTTATATCAAACTGCGTATGTGTACCCATCAATCGACTTCTCTTCATTCTCCTGCCCCCCTGCCCCTTCCCAACTTCTGTTAAACACCAATCTATTCTCTAATTTCATGAGATCCACCTTTTAAACTCCCACATATGAGTGAGAACGCGAGATCTTTGTCGTTCTGTGCCTGGCTTATTTCACTTAACGGAATGACCTCCAGTTCCATCCATGTTGCTGCAAATGACAGGACCTCATTCTTTTTTATAGCTGAATAATATTCCATTGTGGGTATATACTGCATTTTCTCTATTCATTCATCCACTGATGGACACTGAGGTTGATTTCATATTCTGGCGATTGTGAATAGTGCTGCGGTAAACATGGGAATGCAGATGTCTTTTTGATATATTTATTTCCTTTCTTTTAACTATAACCACTAGTGAAATTGTCAGATCATATTGTCATATCTATTTTTAATTTTTTGAGGAACTGCAATATTGTTCTCCATAGTGGCTGTACCATTTTTTTTCTTTTTCTTTTTGAGTTTAGGAGTGCAGGATTAATAGGCAGGAGAAAGAGAAAGAAAACCACCTGTCTCTCTGGGACTTCCAAGAGGAAAGACTGCCCAGGAACCAGTGCACTGGATTTTAGAGTCAGGCTTGAGGAAGTGATGTCTGATTTACATAGGGCTCACAGATTGGTTTGATCACGTATGACGTTTACATAGCGCACAGGAAAGGCTGGCCACCCCACCCTAATCTTGTTATGTGAATAGGCTTTCCAGTTGACTGGGGTCATCATGTCTGGTGTTTGCTGTACACGTGGCTGACAAAGACAAGGGGAGATGGAGCCGCTGTCTTTAACATGATTGGCTCAACTGCCGGCATCTATGTCTGACGCTTGATTTTGCAGGCTGCTCTTTGTTAGAAAGGAAAATGATTTGGGGCTGCTTTTCATTAAAAGGAAAACCTGTCCGAGGACTTCCATACCATCACTATCTGCCTAAGTAATTTATTCTTAACTCCTGTATCATTCCCTACTCTGGAGTGGTAACCCTAACTGCTGTTAGGGGGTGTTGGATGATGACTCTTTCTGGCTACTTTCTGCTGACAAGTAGCATTGTGTGGGGAAGAGCAGCTAGGGCTCCTCCTGGGGTCGATCTAAGGGTCCTCGAAAGAAAGGCATGTCCGTGCATGGTTCTGTCTGTAGCACCATTTTGAATTTGATTGCTGTCAGCTATTCCGATGGTCTGTAACACTGGTTTGCCTCCACCAGATACTGTGTTTCAGTGAATGTTGTACCTTGGTATCCCAGAGGATGTCCCCAATATGAAGTGACTACTTTGTCTGGGGTATATACCTGGGGTTCGTTGTTTTGAGCCAGGAAAATTTAGGACACTGACACACAAGAGGAGTTTAGGAGCAGAGGTTTAATAGGTAGAAGAAAAAGAAAGAAAAACAGCTCTCTCTCTGTTGAGAGAGAGGAGTCTTCCAAGAGGAAAGACCCCTATTTTTTTTCAATAGGCTTAAAATATACATAAGTGGCTGTACTAATTTGTATTCCAGGGTGGGATCTCTTGACCAGGGTTCCCATCAGCTCCCAGCTTCCCAAGAAGCAAGAACCAACCAGCAAGGGGCTTGATCACCACTAGTGGGTCCAAATAAGGGGGCAGTGCGCTGGGGTTGGGAATGGAAGTTTGATTATGAATCCCTCACCATCTGCCCTGAGACCTGTTAAACTGGTCATGGGGCTGGGCTGCATCTGATGCAGAAATTTCTGCTAAAATGATTTCTGTCTTCTGTAGGTAACTTCCAACCCAAGTAATACAACATAAATAGATGATTTTGCTACATGTACTGGGGTAACTTTTCGCATTTCCCTTTTCTTTTCCCCCAACTTTTCCTGTGGTTTTTTCTTCTCTTTTTTGCAGCCAAGAAATGAAATGTTCATTTGTTCATTAATTAATTCAGCAAACATATGTTGATATCCTACTATGTGCAGGCAAAATAAGACATGCTGGTCTCTGGCTGTATGGGCTTGGCAAGTAGCGTTGTCTCTTTTCAGGGCAAATGGTAGTTTTTCCATATTTTTAAAGTTACTCAGGTAATCTCAGGCAAAGGATTAGAAGGAAATGGAGACAGACCCTATAACAACAACAACAGCAAAACTTCAGTTGTCAAGCAAAACCAAATCAAAAGCCCTATCTTTGGGAAACTGTCTGTTTTACCTCATCAGGTTGTCTAGAACCCACAGCAATGGAAATATTAGGAAGGGCAGTGAAGTTTGTGTGTTATTTGAAATTCTGCCGGAACACCCTATAAAATGGGATGTAAACACTCTAGCACTCCCTTACCCCCTGCCAATTTTTTTATTGTAAAATGCACATAACATAAAATGTAGCGTCTTAACCATTTTTAAGTGTACAGTTCAGTGGCATTAAATACATTCACATTGTTTCGCAAACATCCCCACCATCCATCTCTAGAACTCTTTTCATCTCGTGAAACTGAGACTCCGTACTCATTAAACAACCACTTCCCATCCCCACTCCCTCCAGCCCCTCACCACCACCATTGTACTTTCTTTCTCTATGATCTTAACTACACTAAGTGAAACTGGCCGAATTGTCCCATAGAACTGATGTTTATGGTTTCTTTGAATAAGCATAGAAATTGATCCTCCCAGTCTTAAAAACATGAAAAAGGTACATTTGTCTTATCTGAGTTCCTTTCTTGGGAAACCAACCATGAGGTCTCCCAGATAGGATCAAGGAGCTGAAACTCACGAGGCCACTATATCTGGACAATAAGATGCCATGATTGCCTAACTGACCACCTGCTTCCTATTGCCCAACTCCTCTTTCTTATTCCTCCCTAATTCCTGTTTTCCTGCATGTAGCTACATTTCCTCCCTGCTATATAAACCCTTGAGTTTAGTTGGTCAGGGAGATGGATTTGAGATTGGTCTCCTATCTCTTGGGCTGCAGCACCTGAATAAAGCCTTCTTCCCTGGCAATACTCATTGTCTCAGTATTGGCTTTCTACAGCAAGCAGCAGAATCTAGACCGAACCCCTGGCATTTTGGTAGCATAAGTACCTCATTTAAGTGTAGTCATACAGTATTTGTCCTCTTGTGACTGGCTTATTTCACTTAGCATAAAGTCCTCAAGGTTCATCCATGTTGTAACATGTGGCAGAATTTCCTTCCTTTTAAAGGCTGAATAATATTCCTAGTACTCACTTTTTTTTTTTCTTTTGAGACAAGGTCTCACTCTGTTGCCCAGGCTGGAGTGCAGTAGTGTGATCTCAGCTCACTGCAGCCTCTACCCACTGGGCTCCAGCAATCCTCCCACCTCAGCTTCCTGAGTAGCTGGGACCACAGGCACGCATCACCATGCCTGGCTAATTTTTGTATTTTTTTTTTTATAGGGATGATGTTTTGCCATGTTGCCCAGGCTGGTCTCATACTCCTGAACTCAAGCAATCCACCTGCTTTGGCCTCCCAATATGCTGGGATTACAGGTGTGAACCATTGCGCCTGGTCAGTGCTCCATTTTAATATGTTCTTGTGTGTAGCTGAGAGGTCAGCCTAATATCATTTGACCATTGACTGGTGTTGAGGCTTAGTTGAAAAAGTGGGTTAGGATAGAGAAACAGAAAACCTTACATTATGAATATTTTATCTTATCTTTTAACTTACACATACTAGTATTCTGTATACTAATTTGTACTGTGAATACTAATATTAATATTGGGTTAATGGTTGATTAACAAATGAGTTAATTGGGTGAAGTCTCACATTGTCTTCCCTGCATGAATCAGGTGATTTCCTTTTTTGGTTCATTTTGAATTTAATGAGAATTTAAAGACACTGGCTAAGCAGCATACAGAACCCTTCCAGATTTTTATAATTTTCCTCCCCCTCCATCTTTATCTTACAACTAATTCTTCATCAATTTCTATTTAGAAGCTTGCTTTTCTCAGGGCTATTCGAAACACTTAACTTAGTTTTCACAGAAACAACTTTTCTTTTTCCCTTCTTTTTTTTAGACAGGGTCTCACTCTGTTGCTCAGGCTGGAGTGCAGTGGTGCAATCACAGCTCACTGTAGCCTTGACCTCTAGAGCTCCAGCCATCCTCCTGATAACCTGGGACCACAGGCATGAACCACCATGCTGGCTAATTTTTGCATTTTTTGTAGAGATAGTGTTTCACCATGTTGCCCAGGCTGGTCTCAAACTCCTGAGCTCAAGCGATCCTCCCACCTTGGCCTCTCACAGTGCTGGGATTACAGGCATGAGCCACTGTGCCTGGCCTTTCCCTCCTATTTAATCCTACTACATACTACTTAACTAGTTACAAATGAAACTGGCATAAATAGGTTTGGCAGCAAACAACTGATTTTGCTACACATACAGCTCAACACGTGGCAGCTGGTGGCTTACTGGTCTCTGATGTTGGGTGTGCAGTGACTCAAGCTAAATATGAGAAAACATCAGACAAATTCAAGTTGAATGAAATTCTAGAAAATAAAGGCCAGTACTTTTCAAAAGTTATCGAGATCATAAAAGACAAAACTATTACATATTGGACGACACTGAGGAAATATGACAATGAAGTATTTGGCTGATTCTGAATTGTATTCTTTTACTAGAGAGAACTTTATTAAAACAATTGGTGAAACTTAAATGGGGTCTGGGGAGAACATGGTAGTAGATCAGTGTTCGTTGCTTGATTTTGATGGTTGTATTATGGTCCTGTAGGAGAGTTACATGCAATGTGGAATCCTGGATTGGATCCTGGACCAGCAAATGGTCAAAAAAATTTAGTTTTTTTTATTAAGTGTTCATTAATGGAAAAAACTGATGAAATTTGAATGTCCACAGATTCACCAATGTTCATTTCTTGGTTTAGATAGTTGTTGTGTTGTTATGCAAGATATCAACATTAGGGAACGTTGGGTAAAGGACACAGAAAAACTCCAGGTATTCAATTTTTGAGTCTAAATTTTTCAAAAGAAAAAGTTCTTGCTCTTTTTTTTTGAGGCAGAGTCCCACTCTGTTGCCCAGGCTGGATCACCCAGTGGTGCGATCACAGCTCACTGCAATCTCTGCCTCCCAGGTTCCAGTGATTCTCATGCCTCAGCCTCCTGAGTAGCTAGGACTATAGGTGTGTACCACCACGCCTGGCTAAATTTAATTAATTTAAATGAAGGCCAGGGGTTCGAGCTCCCAGGTGAGGCCAATGAAGTTGCTGGTCCACAGACCACGCTTTGGGAAGCCCCCACATCTTGGTTGATTTTAATTATTTATTGATTGATTTTCTGGGCATGTGAAATATTTCCATAACTCTAGGAGTCAGAGGTATACAAAAAGGTGTTCCAAATGAGTGTCTCTCCCTCTACCTCTCTTCTACCCCAAGGAATCTGTGGCCTGGGAACTCTTCAAGAAATGCTGACATGAAGTTTGAGAAGTGCTGGTTCAGAGAGGCTTGAAAAAGCACCTGGGCTTTATTTGGAAGCGGAGCAGCAGCTGATGCCTCCCTAAATGTTCTGCAGATCCCAGAGCAAAGACCTCTGAGTCTACCGCCCCACCCTGCCCAGCCACGGCTCACTCCTGCGGTGGGCTCTGCCAGAGGAGGAAGAGTGGGACCCTCAAGCTCTCTCTGGGTCCTCAGCTCCAGGTCAGATAACCATTTTTGGGAGAGGGTTGAGATGCTGCAAGGGGTGGCTTTGGAGGGAGCTCTGACACTTGGGAATTCTGATCATTTCTGGCACATCTGGGTCTAGGATTAAATAAAATATGGGTTACTTCCCAGGTGAGAGGTTCAGAAAATGGGAGGCATCTCTTTGGCCTGCAGCATGAGGATAGTTCAGTTGTCTTCCCTGTGACTGGAAGAAAAGGTGGCACTCTCTTTCCCAGTGTTGTCCTTGGGGCTGTGTCCCCCTAAAATACAAGTAATAGCCCACTTGGCAGCCCAGGCTCCCCATCTTGGTTATTTGGCCTGATAACCCCTGAAAACCCCCTGCTCGTCCCTCCTCGTCCCCTCCAGTTTTGGCTTCTCACCTGGGTGCCCAGAAAACTTTGCCAAACCTTAACCAACTTCATGCTACAGCTGTGCCTTGGTGTTCCCTCTAGAGAGAGCGTTTTGTGATAGTACCAAGCACTGCAACAGAATACGCTCACTTAAGCTTCCACTGAGAGCCCGTCCTGGGCCCTGGGAAACCGCAGTAAACAAAACAGACTCAATTCCTGCCCTCACACAGCTTACTTTCTGGTGGAGGAGAGAGACACTAAACGAAATAGGTAAATGATATGGTATATTCGAGGCTGACAAGCCCTGTGGAAAAAATTAAGTGGGGAAGAGGGTGAGGAGTGGTTTGTGATAGAGGTGGTGAGTTATGTGGATGTCTGAAGGGAAGAGTGTTGCAGGGGGAACAGCACATGCAAAAGCCCTGAGGCAGGAGCTCATGGTGTATTTATGGAATGGCAAGGAAGCCAAAGGGGGTTGGAGAGGGTGAGGGACGGGGAGCAGGTGGGAGATGTGATCAGAAAGATGGCCTGGAAGGGTTAGATCTTAGGGCCTCAAAGCCCCAATGTAGGGATCTGGCCATCATCAGAGTCAGTAAGGCAGTTGCCTGAGGAGTGACGTGGCCCACCATCAGGGATGCAGTGATGAAGCTCTGCAAACTCCTTGCCCTGTGTCCTCATACAAGAGTCACCACTGCTCTGTGCCTCGGTTGTTCCTTCTCTTAAATGGAGACAATAACAAGACCTGCTTTATCCTCCTATTACGAGGATTAATGATGTAAGGGGCCAGGCATGGTGGCTCACGCCTGTGATCCCAGCACTTTTGGAGGTCAAAGTGGGAGGATTGCCTGAGGCTAGGAGTTCAACGCCAGCCTGGGCAACACAGCAAAACCTTGTGTCTACAAAAATAAAAAATAAAAATAAAAAGCCGGGTTTGGTGGCACGCACCTGTAGTCCCAGCTACTCGGGAGGCTGAGATGCGAGGGAGGGTCGCTTGAGCCCAGGAGGTCAAGGCTGCAGTGAACTTTGATTGCAACACTGCATGCCCGTCTAGGTGAGAGAGTGAGATCCTGTCTCAAAAAAAAAAAAAAAAAATCTAATATAAGTAAAGTTCTGATCAAGTGCTAAGTAAATCTCAGCGGTTGTCATTATTGTTATCCAGAATAATATTTGCCCTCTGGTTTCATGTCCTCCTTCCCAAGACTCTTAGAGTTCCTCAGACTCTAGGAGGAACAAAAGATAGGTGCCTGGATTATCCAGTCTACCTCAAGAAATATCTTGTGAGCAGCTACGATGTGCTGCGGGATGGTGTCCAATAGCAATAAAATCCATGAGAGAGTCCAGGGACTGGATGCACATCTGGGACCATCTAGCTTTCTTTTATTAGAAACAGAGTCTTGCTCTGTCACCCAGGCTGGAGTGTAGTGGCGCGATCATAGCTCACTGCAGCCTCGAACTCCTGGGCTCAAGCAATCCTCCCGCCTCAGCCTCCTGAGTAGCCGGGACTACAGGCACACACCACCATGACCGGCTAATTTTTAAAATATTTTTTTAGAGATGGGAGATGTCGCTATGTTGCCCAGGCTGGTCTCAAACTCCTGGGCTCAAGCGATCCACCTGCCTCGGCCTCCCTAGTGCTGGGATTATAGGCATGAGCCACCGCGCCCAGCCCATCCAGCTTTCTTTACACCAAAGGGCTGCCGCACAGAGATCTTTCACCTGGAATGTTCTTTCCCACATCCTGCTTCACATAGCAAAGTCTTGCTCATAGAGGTTTCAGCTCCTTCCTTGGGGCTCACCAGACCCTAGGTGAGGGCGTTGTCCGTGTGGTCCGAATGCTCTGCTGCTCTTTCCCTGAGCATACATCCCTCTTGTATCACATTCTTGTATCACGTCTCCCTCCCCAGCATACCATGGGCTCAAGAGGGCAGCCCTTGTCGGCAGCCCCCAGTGCAGATCTTGCACACAGTGCAAACCTCCCAGATATTTTCAGTATGAATGGAACACTTTTTTTTTTTTTGAGACGGAGTCTTCCTCTGTCGCCCAGGCTGGAGTGCAGTGGCGCGATCTCGGCTCATGGCAAGCACCGCCTCCTGGGTTCACGCCATTCTCCTGCCTCAGCCTCCCGAGTAGCTGGGACTACAGGCGCCCGCCACCACACCTGGCTAATTTTTTTGTATTTTTAGTAGAGACGGGGTTTCACTGTGTTAGCCAGGATGATCTCGATCTGCTGACCTCATGATCCGCCTGCCTCGGCCTCCCAAAGTGCTGGGATTACAGGTGTGAGCCACCGCGCCCGGCCGGAACACTTGTTTAAGCATGAAAAGCTCACTTTGTTTGGGAGCTGATTAGTTTCTTATTGAACCTTACAACTTCCATTTATAAAAGCCCTCTCTGTGGCTATCCCTCACTGTACCTAGCATGCATCTTGGGGTATTCCCCAGAGTTCCAGCTGAACCTGGGAAGCCAACTGAGTAAAAGAGAGAAACTCCCAGGCGAGGACGAGTCAAGGGTTTATGGCTGGATTCCTGCATGCTCTTGCCACAGCACCTCAATGTGCTGCAAGAAAGTGAGCTGTTCGACATTTCCCTTTATATGGCTGGATTTAATTGCAGGCGATAGAGTGTTAAATCTCAAGTGCTGGCTTTTCTGACTTTCAATGGGAGGGGAGCAGAGAGGCTCAGTTGGAACCTGAAGGGAGGGCAAATGGCAGTTTGCACTCTGATTCGAAGGGAAGCGAAACAACCTCAGAAACTGCAGAGAGAGCCTCTTAGTAATGATACCTAATATGTGGCTCCTGGGGAAGTAGCTAGAAGCACTCATACTGGTAATAATAATAATAATACTAGCATTTGTACAGAGATTATTATTATTTTTGAGTCAGGGTGTCACTCTGTCACCCAGGCTGGAGTGCAGTGGCAAAACCTCGGGTCACTGCAGCTTCCACCTCCTGGTTTCCAAGCAATTCTCTTGCCTCAGCTTCCTGAGCAGCTGGGACTACAGGTGTGCGCCACCACACCTGGCTAATTTTTTGTATTTTTAGTAGAGGCAGGGTTTCACCATGTTGGCCAGGCTAGTGTCAAACTCCTGGCCTCAAGTGATCCACCCACCTCAGCCTCCCAAAGTGCTAGGATTACAGGTGTGAGCCACCATCCCTGGCTGCAAGTGTTTTTATCTAACATACAACCTAACTGTACTTAAAAATGTTTGTTCCACGAGAAATGAAGCTTCCTGAGGACAGAGATTTTTGTTTGCTGCTATATTCCCAGCATAGTGCCTGACACATGATAAGTGCTTAATAACTGTTTGTTGAATGAATGAATGAATGACCTTAAATCATCCTCCACACCTTGGGTAACATGGACATAATGCACAGAAAGTGGTGTGCTTGGTTCCTGGCCCCCAGTAAGTAGCATTTGATGTTTGCAATTAGGACTGTTAACTTGGGCCATTGGAGGAATGTGGGGTCCTCTGGCCAGAGAAGCCCCCCACTACAAGGCAGCAGCCATCTTCCCACCCCTTAGGTTCCGGGTGGGGGACTTGAATTCAGGAAGCCTGAGACATTTATTGGCTACTTCTGAGCTCTCGGTCCAGATGGCTGGACCTAGCTGGCTCCTGACAATTGGAGAAAAGCTGTAGAGCCTAGAGGGAGATGTTCACAGTACATGGAAGATCAGGGTACGCAATGGCCAGATCAGTTCTTAGCCATTATTTATTATCGCTGCAGGCATTTTTGTGAAGGAGATGGCAGGCGTTTGGGCACATAGCTCCTTCCAGATGTCCGCCATAAACGCTCTGCACTTGCTGAGTTCTCAGGAACATAAAACCCGCTGTCAATGGACTTGCCCAGAGCCTGTATTTGCTGCGTTTTTGTTCTTGTTTAGTTATTACATTAAGTCTCCTGTGATTACAGAGCTGACAGCTGGTAAGGATTTGCATATGGCATGAAATTAAGTTAGTTCATTTTAATGTCTAAACTGAGCAGGGCGTGAATTTGTCTGGTGAAAACTGTCTCCCTTATCTTTGTTTGCACATCTGCTTTCGGCTGTAGCCTCTGATGTCTTCAAGTTTGATTTCTCCCCACTTCACCCAGGGTAGAGAGGGAATTGGCTCCCCCTTCTAGAATTCCAGAAGGGACTTTGCACTTTGGGGTTTAGAATGTTCTCTTTTAGGTTTCAAGAGGAATTAAGATTCCAGGGCTGCTATGAAGAGACCAGCATTCTAGCCCCATCTTTGTGACTTGCTTGCTGTGTTGCCCTGAGCAAGTCACTTTCCCTCTCTGGGCCTCAATTCCTCATCTGTCAAGTGAGAGATTGGAAGCAGATGAATGTTCATCTGTTGGGGCGCTTTTGACATTTGGGATGGGACAGTTTTTTATTGGGTGGGACTGAGTGAGGTAGTGTATGATGTTGAGCATGCCTGGTCGTTGGGCATTGTATGTCAGCCACACCTCAAATTACTGAAAACCAAAAAGCACCACCACACGTTTCCAAACGCATCTGTAGCAAACCCAGCTAGTGCCCTACTCATATCCCTGCATCCCTTCACTGTTTTTGTAGTCATGATCTGTCAGTGTGCCCTCCCTCCTCAAATGCCAGCACCTGTGTCTCTTCATGGTGTACTGTCTTCAGATTGCCAGAACTTGCTTTGCTAGGAATCTATGTTCATTCTCCACCCAATGGGAAGCTCTTAACCAATGACTGACAGGTGTGTGGGTGGGGGATGAGTGCTCCAGCTCCCCAGTCTTTGACCTGGTCAAATTTAAGATGAGGGATTGAGCGAAGGTTGCCCTCTGTGGGGCTTTGCCTACTGGTTTGTTGTGGGAATACACCCTAATAAATGACTTTTACACAAATTATTATCATAGTCCACTTCTAGAGCACCCAGCCCAAGACAGCCTCCAGGGGGCAGTATAAGCCCCTCTTGATGACCACTGAACCAGATGATCTCACTGGATGATTTTTTCATTCAGCAAATCTTTGGTGTCTAATATGTGCCAGGTCAAGGGCTGGCTGTGATGTTAATTTCATGTGTCAACTTGATTGGGTAAGGGATGCCCAGATAGCTAGTAAGACATTATTTCTGGGTGTATCTGTGAGAGTGTTTTTGGAAGAGATTAGCATTTGAGTTGATACACTGGGTAAAGCAGATGGCCCTCCCCAACGTAGGTGGGCATCATCCAATCTGTAGGGCCCCAGATAGAGCAAAAAGTTGGAGGAAAGGCAAATTCTCTTTTTTCCTTCTTGAGTTAGGACATTCATCTTCTCCTGTGTTCAGACATTGGCACTCCTGGTTCTTGGGCCTTTGGACTCTGAGGCTTACACCAGTTCCACCTCTTACCTCTTCCCTCCTCTTCTTTAGTTCTCAGGCCTTTGGCCTTGGACTGGGAGTTTCACCATCAGCTCTCTTGGTTCTTAGGCCTTTGAACTTGGACTGAATTACACCACTGGTTTTCCTGGTTCTCAAGCTGCAGCATGGCAGATCTTGGGACTTCTCAGTCTGCATCATCATATGAATCAAATCCCACAATAAATCTCCTCTTATATAGCTACCTAAATCTGTAGGCTCTCTTTCTCTGGAGAACTCTGACTGACACACTGGATATAGAACTATGAACATGATACGCGTCTGCCCTGTAGACTTATAACCTAGTGAGGCCAGCAGGCAATAATAAGTATAAGAAGTGGTGGCAGTGGTGGTGGAGGGATTCTATGAAGAGGGGACATTTATGCTGCACTTACAGGAGTAAAAGAAGTGAGTGAGCCAGGTTGAGAGTAGGGAAGAGAGCCTGCCAGGCAGATGGAATAGCATGTGCAAAGGCTGGGAGAAGAAAAAGGCTTGGCATGTGGGAGGACTGGTTGAAGGCCAGAGGGGCTGGAAAGCAGGCAGGGTGATGGGGAGAGAGGTGTGTGAGATGGGGTGGAAAGCCAGGCAGGGGACAGGTCTTGAGGGACCTGGTGGTGAGGAATTTGGATTTTATTCAAAGTGATGGGAAGCCATTGAGTGGTTTTAAGCAGGAGTAATATGATTCAGTTGATATTTGAAAAACATTACTCTGGCTGTTGGGTGGAATATGAATCAGAGGGAAGTGCATCAGTCAGGGTCTGGTCTAGGTATTTCAAACAGAGGGGACTTAATACGGGGAAATGGTTATACAAGTGTTAAAACAGCTGAGAAGTCAAATAGGGGACAAGGAGCTGACCCAGAAATGATTACTATCAAGACTTCTTTTTACTTATGGCCAAATGGACAAAGTAGGGAGGTGATGTTATCAGAACCCAGGAGCTGGAACCATTTGGCAGGAAGGAGAACCATGGTTGGGGCTGCCCTGCTGGAGCTGGGACCATGGAGGTGAAACCATTGGGGGAGGTGTGGATGTTGCTCAGGGATTCCACCTGAAACAGGTGGAGGGCCAGAGATGCCCTGGTTTCTCTCTTCATCCCTCCCTCTAGTCTCCCACTGGTGCCTCCCAATGGTTGCATTTATCTGGAAGCCAGAAGAGCCTGGGAAATATGGTTCCCTGGGATGTAGAGCAAGACTGGGAAGGGTAGGGATTGGATCTGAGCCCAAAAAGGAGAATGCTCAGCATAGGGGCCAATGAAAGCTCCTGCAAGAGTAGAGGTGAGAGATGATGGTGCCTCAAGTCATAGTGGTGGAGATGGAGAAATGCAGATAGAGTGAAGTCTACCTTGGAGCTAAAACCAACAGGGCATGGGTGTGGTGGCAAAGGAGAGGGAGGAATCAGAGAATCTGACGTTGTTTTTCCACAAGCAACTGTTAGACAGGATAGTTTTCAAGTCAAATCAACATATAGGGCTGGAGTGTCAGCACACCAGGGTTCTCTCAGAAGATTTCCCTGCTCCTTAACTCAGCCAGTGAAATACTTGAGGGCTCCAGAGCCTCTTCTTTGATGAGAGTCTCACCATGGGGACTAAATTCTTGTTGACATAGTTCTCACTCTTAACATCCTCTCAGGTCATGAGCAGCTCTTCAAGATGATCAGAATTCTTATGTTTATAATGCTCAGAGCAGATTCTGGATTTAGAGCATCCATTCTGAATGAACACTTGTAATCCAAGTCACTTCTCCACTTTCATTATAGTAAATTGTGAAGAGTAGGTGCTCCAGAGTCGTGTAAATCCAGATTTAAATCCAATTCCAGCCATGTATTCTTGGGAAATGTATATAACTTCTTTGAGCTTAGTCCCTCTTTTGGAGCATGAGATTGTGTTTGTTAATATGTTTTCATTCTAAGTGACAGAAACCCAAGTTAATTAGAATAAACAACATTAATAGAGGTAATTTATTAGAAAGCTCCTGACTACAAAGAAGAGTTGAAGAGTCAAGCTAGGGGAATGACAAGGAAGCATCTAGATTCTACCAACTGGAGGCAGGACTAGAGATCTGTAGACATGTCTCCACTGCCTATCACAGCCTATTTCTTGGCATTGATGTCATTCTTTTTTTTCTCTGCAGTCTCGACTTTCTCTGCTCTTCAGTGTACAGGATGGAAAACACGGATGCAGTGGCTTCAGGTTTTTATATGAAAGTAACATCAGCCATTCAGAGAGAGTCTGACTTGACATCGTGCCACATTCAAAATTCTCAGGGTAAGGTATCACTGGCCTGTTTGGGATCAGGTGCTCATCTTTGAACCAATCAGCTGTGGCCAAGGGGTAGGATTACATTGTAAAGTGGCTGCTCCTGTTGTAGACATAAGATTGGGAGAGAAGAAGGGAGCACTGGGGAGGCAATCCCATAGAATGCTACTGCTGGAATAATAATGGTACTTGCTACCAGTGTTGCTATGACAAGTGTGCTAATGCTTAGCATAGTTCCTGATACGTAGTAAATGCTCAATAGATATTAGCTGCTATAATAATTATTATTTTTGATGAAATCTGATCAAGGCCATTCTTGAAGCCAGTACAGTACTTATAAAATTAATGGATACATTTCCAGGGAAATCCCTAAGATGGTATTAGGGCATGAAGCCAGAAGACAAAGAGCTTCATGTAAGATATCAGTCATTTCACTTGAGTCCTTAGGGAATCCACCATGATATTGTATTCATATTTTTTTCCTCTCCATTACAAGAAAGTAGGAAAAAGTAAGATGATGAATTTTACTTTCACAGATGAAAATGGAAAGGGGACTTCCTCTCAAGACTTGACCAAAGGGCTGAGCTGAATAAGGCAGGATTTCAGATCCAGCTCCATGTATATGTCTGTGAAGATCAGAGAAAGACATTGTCTAGGTCTTTGAAGAGGTCCTGAAATCTTGTTCACCTTCTTTCCATTACCCCAATTCCCCAATCTATTTTTGTTTAACTTTTTTTGTTGCAAATGACAAAAATTCAGCCAAACTAGCTAAAGCTCCTAAACTGTTTTTATTAGTTTATATGTCTAAGAGGATAGGCATGAAGATATTGATAGGCACAACAGAAGCCACGGATCAAACAATGTATTTGGGACTCTTTCTCCATTTCTTGGCTCTGTTTGCGTGTTGATTTTATTATTTAAGATTTCTCTTGAGTGGCAGAAACATGTGGCTGGCAGACCAAAATTCCAACATTATGACCCCAGAGGCAAAATATAGTCTTCTCCATGGCTCCAGCAGAGGATTACTGTGGAAGAACTCTGACTGGCCCTGCTTGAGACACATGCCTACCTCTGAACCAGCCTGGCCTGGAGGGTAGGGTTCTCTAATAGACCACACTTGTTGTTATAGAAGCTGTGATTGACAGCTCCACTAGAAGCACATAGAATAAGGAGGGCATTTCCAAGGAAAGAGCCTATTGGGAAGACCAAGATCACAGTGTCCACTACAGTTCCTCCTGGGGTATTAGCAAGCACAAAGGCATTAAGAAGACTTTTATGCTTGTTTTAGGGTGAGCGGAAGGGGAAAAACCTAAGATTACATCTCATTCTGCAGTAGTTCAAGGAAATGAGAGAAACTTGGTGGAAGAGGTGATGGTATCAAAGAAGCCCATTTGGAGAAAAGAAAAGTAGTGATACAGCTGCATAGCTATAATCTTAATCACTTAAGACAGTGGAGCACCCTGGACCTCAATGCAGGAGAGAAAGATTCTGCCCCTCTATGGAGCGGAGAGGCCACCAGCAGGCATTGTGTTTTTCAGCTGAGTAGATCCACAGCCCTTCCATGACAGGGGCCCTTGTCCATAGGAGGTAGCTTCTTCACTGACAAGCCATCAGAGAGCTAAGGATAACCATGTACTATGGTCAGTCCCTGTGTCAAAGTTAGTCAGCATGGAAGGCCAGGTTACTCTGGTTCATGATATGAAGTCATAATTCTTATCCTAGCCACGTCTGTGCCGAACATTTCTGAGCAGGCTTCAGTTAACTCTGTTCAGTTGCCCCCTCCATGGGGCTTCTCAGATGCTGCAATGTGGAATTCCACTGGGAATCTGATTGCAACCTCTGCACTCAGTACCTTGAAGCTGGAAGGAGCCATTGCCCCTTGGGTGGTCCTGACCAATAGGAGACAGGAGCTGATGGATAGTGTGTTTCCCTGCTCCCCTTAGATGGACAGTTCTGACATGCATTTCACCATCTCTTTGAAAGATCCCATAGATGGCGCACCCAATTACAGGTGGTAGTGGCCAACTAGATATTTCATGCTTGTGTTGGCTTTTCCCTCTTCCCCCTTCATGCCCTCGTTCCTGCTCCCTGAGAGCATGTTCCTAAATCAATGACCCACAGGAAAGACACTGCTTTCAGTAAAACAGTTTCCAGTTTTCATGATTATGAATGGTGCTGCAATGCACATCTTTGTACCTAAAACTTTTTTTTTTTTTTTTTTTTTTAAGATGGAGTCTTGCTCTATCGCCCAGGCGGGAGTGCAGTGACATGATCTCTGCTCACTGAAACCTCTGCCTCTCAGGGTCAAGTGATTCTCGTGCCTCAGCCTCCCGAGTAGCTGGGATTACAGGCACCTGCCACCATGCCTGGCTAATTTTTGTATTTTAGTTGAGACGGGGTTCACCATGTTGGCCAGGCTGGTCTCAAACTCCTGACCTCAGGTGATCCACCTACCAAAGTGCTGGGATTACAGGCATGAGCCATCACACCCGGTTTACCTAAAACTTTTTAGGTTGTGAAAATTATTCTGGAGAATAAATTCCCTGAAGTGTTCTTGCTGGATTGAAGGGTTTGCCCGTTTACTAGTTTGATAGTGATTGCCAAATTGCCCTACAAAGCTGCTGCAGGAATTTGCATTCCATGAGTTCTCCAACGTTGAATATTATTAACCTTTAAAATTTTGACACATAAATGAGGGAAAAAGCACTTCACAGTTTTAATTTGTAGATTTTTGATGACTAGTTTAGAGGCCATTTTTATACTTCTGAAATTGCCTATTAATGTCTTTCCCTTGACTTCTTTTTTTCTGTTAGATTTCTGCAATTTTTATGAATTGTAAAAGCTCTTTTAAAAAATTAATTTCAACTTTTATTTTAGATTCAGTCGGTACATGTGCAGGTTTGTTACATTGGCATATTGTGTGATGCTGAGGTTTGAGGTATGATTGATACCGTCACCCAGGTAGTGAACATAGTATCCAACAGTTAGTTTTTCAGTCTTTGCCCCTCTCCTTCTCTCCTCTATCTGGTAGTCCCCAGTGTCTATTATCGCCATCTTTATGTCGATGTGTACCCAATGTTTAGCTCCCCTTTGCAAGTAAGAACATGCAATACTTGCTTGTCTGTTCCTGCATTAGTTTGCTTAGGATAATGGCCTCCAGCTGCATCCACGTTGCTGCAAAGGACATGATTTTGTTCTTTTTTATGGTTGTGTAGTATTCCATGGTATATATGTGTCACATTTTCTTTTCTTTTCTGTACCTCCCTCCCTCCCTCATTCCCTCCCTCCCTCCTTCCCTCTTTCCCTTCTCCTTCCTTCCTTCTCTTCCTTCTCTTCCCTTTTCTTTCTTCTTGCTCTTGAGATAGGGTCTTGCTCTGTCACCCAGGCTGGAGTGCAGTGGCATGATCTTGGTTCTCTGCAGCCTCGACCTCCCAGGCTCAGATGATTCTCCCACCTCACCCTCCTGAGTAGCTGGGACTATAGGCATGCACCACCATGCCTGGCTAATTTTTGTATTTTCTGTAGAAACAGGGTTTCACCATGTCACCCAGACTGGTCTTGAATTCCTGGGCTCAAGTGATGCACCCATCTTGGCCTCCCAAAGTGCTGGGATTACAGGCATGAGTTGCCGGGCCCAGCCTGAGCCACTGCGCCTGCACACATTTTCTTTATCCAGTCCGCCGTAGATAAGCATACAGGTTGATTCCATGTCTTTGCTATTATGAATAGTGGTGTGATGAACATACAAGTGCATGTGTCTTTTTGGCAGAATGATTTATTTTTCTTCGGTTTTATACCCAGTAATGAGAATGGGTCAAATGGTAGTTCTGTTTTAACTTCTTTGAGAAATCTCCAAACTACTTTCTACAGTGGTTGAACTAACTTAACATTCCTACCAACAGTGTGTAAGCATTCCCTTTTCCCTGCAGCCCCATCAACATCTGTTACTCTTTGACTTTTTAGTAATAACCACTCTAACTGGTATGAGATGGTTTTGATTTGCATTTCGCTGATGATTAGGGATGTTGAGCTTTTTTTTATGTTTGTTGGCTGCCTGTCTGTCTTCTTTTGAGAAGTGACTGTTCATGTCCTTTGCCCACTTTTAAATGGAATTATTTGGTTTTGGTTGTTGATTTAAGTTCCTTATTAATTCTGGATATTAGACCTTTGTTGGATGCATAGTTTATGAATATTTTCTTCCATTCTATAGAGTGTCTATTTCCTCTGTTGAGAGTTTCTTTTGCTATGCAGAAGCTCTTCAGTTTAACTAGGTCCCACTTGTCAAGTTTTGTTTTTGTTGCAATTGCTTTTGAGGTCTCAGCCACAAATTCTTTGCCAAGGCTGATGTCCAGAATGATTATTTCCTAGGTTTTCTCCTAGGATTTTTGTAGTTTGAGGTATTACATTTAAATCCTTGATCTGGCCAGGCACGGTGGCTCACACCTGTAATCCCAGCACTTTGGGAGGCCTAGGTGGGTGGATCACTAGAGGTCAGGAGTTCAAGGCCAGCCTGGCCCACATGGTGAAATCCCATCTCTACTAAAAATGCAAAAATTAGCTGGGCATGGTGGTGCACATCTGTAATTGCAGCTACTCAGGAGGCTGAGGGATAAGAATCACTTGAACCTGGGAGGCGGAGCTTTCAGTGAGCGGGGATCACGTTGCTGCACTCCAGCCTGGGCAAGAGAGTGAGACTCTGTCTCAAAAGAAAAAAAAATCTTTGATCCATCTTTTGTATATGGTGAAAGGAAGGGGTTCAGTTTCATTCTTCCACATATGAATAGCCAGTTATCCCAGCAGCATTTATTGAATAGGGAGTCCTTTCCTTATTGCTTATTTTTGTTGACTTTGTCAAAGATCAGATGGTTGTGGGTATACAGTTTTATTTCTGGGTTCTCTATTCTGTTCCATTGGTTAATGTGTCTATTTTTATACCAGTACCATGCTGTTTTGATTACTGTAGCCTTAAAGTATAGTTTGAAGTCAGGTAATGTGATGCCTCCAGCTTAAAAGCTCTTTTTTTATAGTTTGAGGTATTACATTAAATCTTTGATCAATCTCTGGTTAATTTTTGTATATGGTGAAAGGAAGGGGTCCAGTTTTATTCTTCTGCATGTAATAGCCAGTTATCCCAGCAGCATTTATTGAATAGGGAGTCTTTTCTTCAATATGCTGACTGCTTATTTTATCTTTGGGTTATCTTTTAAAAATATCTGCCTTGACACATATACACCGTGGAATACTATGCAGCCCTAAAAAAGGATGAGTTCATGTCCTTTGTAGGGACATGGATGAAGCCGGAAACCATCATTCTCAGCAAACTATCGCAAGGACAAAAAACCAAACACCACATGTTCTCACTCATAGGTGGGAATTGAACAATGAGAACAGCTGGACACAGGAGGGGGAACATCACACACCGGGCCTGTCGTGGGGTGGGGGGAGGGGGGATGGATAGCATTAGGAGATATACCTAATGTAAATGATGAGTTAATGGGTGCAGCACACCAACATGGCACATGTATACATATGTAACAAACCTACAGGTTGTGCACATGTACCCTAGAACTTAAAGTATAATAAAAATAAATAAATAAATTTACACACACACACACACAAAATCTGCCTTGAGACATTTTTGTACACTGAACATATATAAATTGTGTAACAATAATAATAAAAGCCAAAGAAGGCCGAAGGGCTTCATCCTCTTATCCTCCTCCATTGCCACAAGGGTCTCCATTCCTGCTCCTCTCCCAGATGTTCCAGGAGCTACACATCTGCTTCCTTTGGGTCCTCCCCAGAGCTGTGATCTTCTGTTAGGCTCTGGGCACTGCCTTCCTCCCACTGTACCAGGACCCTGGGCAGAAAACCAGCCTTGTTGTGGGACATGAGTCTTCAAAGGAACTTGGTTTTGGGTTGGTTTCTCAGAAGAAGACCCTGAGGCAAGGATTTATGTATTCCATGGAAAATAGGTCAAGGAGTGGTGGAAGCAGGGCAGGAAAGAGGAGGAAACCAAGTAGCGTGCAATCTCAAACAAAATCCTATGAAAGGCGGCCTCAGCCTGATTCCACAGGGGACACCTTGGAGTGTGAGTTACATCTCAGAGTTAGTCCACGCTTAGCAAAGGGAGCTGGATTTCTTACATGTGCACCCATCACTCATTGGATAAGGGCTGCCTGGGAGAAATGCTCAGGCATTTCTGGCCTTCTGTAGGTGCCAGTGGAGAGCCTCCAGTGGCCAAGGACAGTGCTCCAAAGAAGAGTCTGGAAGCTGGTTGTTGAAGGTAAATGCACACTGGGGTCAATGGTAGGACATCCAGAAAAGGTCACAGAGAATCTGAGTGGATCTGGGCAGAGTGCCAATGTTGCCCACTGGAGACCTGGTTTAAGGTGGGAGATGCTGGGATGTCCTGGAAAGAGAGCTCTTAAAGTCTGTGCTCTCAAAATCTGGATCTGGCTTGGTATTCTTTTCTCACAGTGTGACCTTGGGCAAGTCTCCCGGCCCCTCTGAGCCCGAGTCTTCTCATCTGAAAAATGGAGGCAATAATTTGTTCCCTTGCCTCAGGGCTTTGTAAATTGTAAAATAATACACAAATGTAAAGTGTTTGTCTGTGGGTTGGGAATTTGGGCATTTCAATGTCTTTGTTTTATATTTTTAATTGGATGAGATGGTGCATTAGTCTGGTCAGGCTGCCATAACGAAATACCAGAGACTGGGTGGCTTAAACAACAGAAATTTATCTTCTCACAGTCTGGAGTCTGGAACATCCAGGATCAAGGTGCTGACAGGATAGGTTTCTGGTGAGGCTTGCCTCCTTGGTTTTGCAGATGGCTGTCTTATCGCCGTGTCTCACATGGTCTTTCCTTTGTGTGCACATGGGGAGGGGGAGGGATGTCTGGTGTATTAGTCCGTTCTCGAGCTGCTGATAAAGACATACCCAAGACTGGGTAATTTATAAAGGAAAGAGGTTTAATAGACTCACAGTTCCACGTGGCTGGGGAGGCCTCACAATCACGGCAGAAGGTGAAACTCATGTCTTACATGGCAGCAGGCAAGAGAGAATGAGAACCAAGTGAAAGGGGAAACCCCTTATAAAATCATCAGATCTCATGAGACTTATTCTCTACCACGAGAACAGTATGGGGGAAACCGCCCCCATGATTCAGTTATCTCCCATCGGGTCCCTACCACAGGACATGGGAATTATGGGAGCTACAATTCAAGACGAGATTTGGGTGGGGACACAGCCAAACCATATCATCTGGTATCTCTCTTTCTTCTTATAAGGACACTGGTCCTATTAGATTAGGGCTTCACTCTTATGATCTCCTTCAATGCTAATTACCTCCTTAAAGGCCCCATCTCCAAATGTAGTCACATTGGGCGTTAGGGCTTCAACAGATGAATTTTGCTGATAACACAATTCAATTGAGAATATGTGTATAAAATGCTTCCTAATGCAAATAGATACTTCATAAATGTTAATTTCTCCCCTCCCCTTCCACCCCTCTACCCTCTCTTCCTCCCTTCTTTTTTTCCTTTCTTCCAACCAATATTATATGCCAGGTACTGTTCTAGGCTGGGAACAGAGTGCTAAAAAAGACAGACACAGTTTCTGCCTTCATTTTCTCTCATCCATGGTGAAGTAAAATCAATAAGCTCAAGACAGGGTCCAAGATCCCAAGTGCGGTGTTTAAAATCAGAGCTAGTACACTCAGCCCTAAAAACTGGCTCTGCCTCATGGATATATTTTTTTGGACCTGGACTGACTGTTACCCAGGCTGGAGTGCAGTGGTGGGATCATGACTCACTGCAACCTCCATTTTCTGGACTGATGCCATCCTTCCACCTCAGCCTCACAAGTAGCTGGGACTACAGGTGTATACCACCACGCCTGGCTACTTTTTGTATTTTTTTTAGAGCCAGAGTTTTGTCATGTTGCCCAGGCTGGTCTTAAATTCCTGGCCTCAAGCAATCTACCTGCCTTGGCCTCCCAAAGTGCTGGGATTACAGGCATGAACTACCACACCTGGCTTGTGCTGATTTATTTTTTAATTGGTGGCTAACTTTTAAATATGATTTCACTGAAAAATGCATATTTTCAGCTTCTCTTGAAATAATTAGATGAGGCGGCAGCTTGGGCCTGCGTTCTTGTGAGGTGTCTATTGGCTTGAGCTGTGTAGCTACCACCCCTGGGGAGAGAGGGGAAGTGTTTCTTGGTGCCCTCTGTTCCTTGCCTGGTCTGATTCAGTAATTTATTACCTGCCTATTCCCTGCAGGTATTAAGATTTGCAACTGCTGGTTTAAATAAATATGACTAATTGAAGAGCCTGACTTAGCGCTCTCACTTTTCCCATATGGAGAAAGGAGTCAGTAGAATCTTGTTTTCTATTCTTTTTGCGTGGGCTTTAGATAATCGAATGTGGAGTGGGGCTTGGGGTGAGGGTAGGGGCTGGTGGGAATTGGGTATCATTCTTGTGGTAGGCTGGTTGCATTAATAGCTCCAGTTAATTTCTCCCTATAGCTATGCCCTCTGTCTAATAACTCTTAATCCCCTAGCCCCCTATTCTGGCTCTGGGCTTGAGCATGTGACTTGCTTTGGCCAATGGCATTTAGCAAACATAATGCAAGCAGAGGTTGGAGAAAGTGCTTGTGTATTTCCACTTGCTTGCTTGGATCTCTGCAGCCACCGTAAGAATGTGCCCAGGCTAGCTGGAAAACATGCCCAGACCAGCTTGCTGGGGGAATAGGAAAGACATGCATGGGAGAGAGAGACAGATGGGAGAGAGTCTGGTTGACCCAACTGAGGCCATCAGCCAGCAACCAGCAGACCTCCAGACATGTGGGTGAGCTCAGCTGGGGCTGGAAGAACTGCCAGGCAGCCTACCCACTTGTAAGCAGTAATAAAAGGAATAGTTTGAAGTTGAGCCTTTGGAGGTAGTTTGTTATACAGTATTATTGTGGTGGTAGATAACTGATACATTTGCATGCTGTATGCCACCCCCTCTTTCCTCCTCTCTCCTCCCCACCTCTCTCTCTCCAGCCCATAGTATTGAACACTTACTATGTGTCAGGGATACAACAGTGAGTGAAACTAGATAAGATTCCTGCCCTTAGGCTCTTTACAGCAGTAGTCCCCAACCTTTTTGGCACCAGGGACTGGTTTTGTGGAAGACAATTTTTCCACGGACGGTGGGTGGGGTTGGGGGTGGGCATGGTTTCGGGATGAAAATGATGAAAATGATTAGATTCTCATGAGGCATACACAACCTAGATCCCTCGCATGCGCAGTTCACAATAGGGTTCACGCTCCTCTGAGAATCTAATGCCGCTGCTGATCTGACAGGAGGCGGAACCCAGGAGGTAATGCTGACTCACCCACCACTCACCTCCTGCTGTGCAGCCTGGTTCCTAACAGGCCACGGACTGATACCGGTCCCGGTCCATGGCCTGGGGGTTAGGACCCCTGGTTTAAAATATTGTCCTTGGTTTTGTTGCAGAGCTTGAAAAGCTGAAGTTCAATAAGGAAGTGACTAATTTCATCTACACCAAGCCGTTCTGGGATGAGTTTCTTTCCCATAGAGTACTTTGTTACAATTTCTGTGTTTCCCATTCTAATTGTTCCCTAAACCACTGCAAAAATCGCCACTGGTAGCAATAGCTCTTCCCCGTAATGTGAATTCTTTCAACATGATGTGTAAACCCAGGATGTTCTTAAGTAATTTATGTAAAGAGTGAGCAATTCTTTATATGTTTTTATAAGGTAGGGAGAGTTTTATGTACTGTAAAGTTTGATGTATTGTCATAAATTACACTTTGCTTTTAGGCCTACGTAAAAAAGCACAATGTTTCTCTGAGTTCTGGGAAATATACTGTAAATAAAACTGGTGGTTTATTTCTTGGCTGGGCATTTTCTCTAATAATATAAAGAGATGTCAACAACTGTACCTTCTGGGCAAAATATGAGGTTCTCTTCCCTTCTCACTACAGAGAAAGAGTGAACAGAGCTTGCCAGTTCTCTAGACTCTTAAAGGAAGCTGAGTGTGGTCTAGAGCCTGTGTCCCGGTCAGATTTGAGATCCGTGTGCTCCCAGCTGGCCCGTCGGTCAGGTAGATTAGAGAAGTCAGCGTCCTAGCTGGGCGTGGTGGCTCACACCTGTAATCCCAGCACTTTGGGAGGCCGAGGCGGGCGGATGATTTGAGGTCGGGAGTTTGAGACCAGCCTGACCAACATGGAGAAACACCGTCTCTACTAAAAAATATAAAATTAGCTGGGCGTGGTGGCGCATGCCTCTAATCCCAGCTCCTTGGGAGGCTGAGGCAGGAGACTCGCTTGAACCTGGGAGGCGGAGGTTGCGGTGAGCCGAGATCACACTGTTGCATTTCCAGCCTGGGCAACAAGAGTGAAACTCCATCTCCAAAAAAAAAAGGGAAGTCAGCATCCTTTGGCCCTGGGCTCTTCCCACCTCCCTCTTCTCCTTGGGTGTCCTTCCCAAAGACTCATGTCTTAGCCAGGATGCTAGAAAAAAATACCATAAACTAGGTGGCTTATAACCAACAGAAAGTTATTTCTCACAGTTCTATGGGCTGAAAAGTCCACGATCAGGGTGTGGGCAGAGTTGTTTTCTGGTGAGGGTTCATAGATGATGGTGCCTTCTAGCTGTGTCCTCACATGGAGGAAGGGGTGAGAGATCTCTCAGTGCTCGCTTATTTATTTGAGATGGAGTCTCCCTCAGTCACGCAGCCTGGAGTGCAGTGGTGCAATCTCGGCTCACTGCAACCTCCACCTCCTGGGTTCAAGCAATTTTCCTGCCTCAACCTTCTGAGTAGCTGGGATTACAGGCACCCACCACCATGCCCAGCTAATCTTTATATTTTTAGTAGAGACAGGGTTTCATGGTGCTGGCCAGCCTGATCTCAAACTCCTGACCTCGAGTGATCTGCCCGCCTCAGCCTCCCAAAGTGCTGGGATTACAGGCATGAGCCACTGCATCCAGCCTCAGTGCTCTTTCATTAGGGCACATAACCCCATTCATGAGGGCTCCTCTTCCATGACCTACTCACCTCCCAAACGCCCTACCTCCTAATGTCATCACCTTATGGGTGAGAATTTCAACATAGGAATTTTGGGGGAACATAACCCTTGAGACCATAGCAGCATGGCAGCTTTGCTTTCAGACCACTGTAGACAGATCTCTCTATGAAAGTGGGAAGATGAGTCACATTTCCTTTCCTAGCCTCAGTTTCCCCATCTGTAAAGTTACCCAATGATCATTCACAACAACTCTTACTGTATAATTCTATAAATAAGCTTAAACAGTAAATTCCTTCCCTGGGTTTCTACATTTGTTAGATGCATCTTGGAGGCAGCAGACAGTGTGGGATAAGTCTCTAATGGTGGCATTTCAGGTAGTGTGATGAGAAGTGGGGAGGTCATTTTGGTCTGGTATGTGTTTGGGGAGTACTGTTTTCCCTTAAGTCAGGTCATCTACCTGGATACGTTTGTTGCCTGCATGTAAGGAAAAGAAATCTGATGTGGGTTATAAGTCCTGGTTTGGCCCCTGTATTGGGTATTCATGGGAAGGTCACTCTCTTGGCCCCCGTTTCTTCCTCTGTAAAATGAGGTGCCTCTGCCGGCCCTGACATTCTGGAATTTATTGAAGCCAATAATGTCCTTGTGTGTCTGAGCATAAACGATTTTCCTCTAATTTCCTGTCTTCATTTTAGGGACAGAATCCAGAGTGTGTGAATCAGAATTCTTTTGAGTGAAAGCCCTAGAAACTCAGCTCAAATTGGCTGAAGTAAGATAATTTTCTGGCTCAAGGGGCTGAAAAATCTAGGGTGCTGGCTTCAGGCATGGCTGAATCCAGGTGTCCATCAGATGGCATTGTGACTCAGTCTCTGTCTCTGATCTCTGCCTTCCTCTAGGTTGACCTGTGCTCTCAGGCAGCCTCTCCCCACATGATGGTGAAGATGATCACCAGTTGTATCAGATCTTTATCCTACCAGCTTAGCAACACTGGCAGAAAGGGAGCACTTTCTCTGCAGATGTTCTAGCAAAAGTCTCATGGCTGAATTTCATTGACTTAGCTTGAGTCACATGCTCACCCCTGAACCACTCTGATTGACTGACTATGCCTGGGACATGTGCTCACCTTGGAGTTGAGAGGAGGGTTAGCCCCATCCAAACACCACCAAGTAAGAGAGGTAGAGGTGCTGCACAGGAAATGGGGCCCTGAAGCCAGAGGACTGGGGAGTGGGCGCTGAGCAGACATGAAGAATGGACGTTCACCTCCAGGGCCAGGCTGGGATCTTATGGATGGATCTTATGAAGTAGCTCAGGGGCTCTCCATGGTTTTCAATTCTAGAGTCCTGGGATGTTAGGGCCAGACAAAAGCTCAGATCTTATGCATCTTCTGCCCAACTCTGCATTTTACAGATGAGAAAACTGAGCCTTGAGAAGATGGGGGCCATTTGCCCAAAGTCCCTGAGTATGAATCATCTGAGGAGGAGGGCACTGTATCAACAGTGCTTCTCTGAGTGACTCAAACCCAATGCTACACAAGAAGGACTTTTACCCAACCATGACGCTACCAAGCGTGTAGCATCCTAGTAGATTGTTCACCACTTATCACTCATATGTGGTCTAGAGACCAGCAGCATCAGCATCACCTGGGAGCTGGCTAGAAAGAGAATTTCAGGCCCTGCCCCAGACCTACTGAAATGGAAACTTCATGTGAAAAAGGTCCCCAGCTGATTGTGTGCACGTTGAAATTTGAGAAGTGCTGGTCTCTACCACGGATCAAGGAGTTCCAGGTGACTCTTTCATCTGGCCAGGATTGCAGTTAGTCCTAAAACAAGTTCTCTTCTCCTAAACCTTGCAGAAGAGGAGGATTTTGCAATCTGTGAGCTTACCAGGTAAGATGATTTAGTGTCATAGAATATTCATGGTCAGGAAGGTCTTCTTGGAAGTTGGCCTCCCTCCTTCCTGCTGCTGTGTAGGCAGGGTTGCCATGGTAGTATCTTTCCCACTACTACCACTAATGGTGTGAAAAGAGTCAGAGGTCCCAAGAGCCCGGTTCAGGTCCCGAGGCTTTTATGAGCTGCATGACTTGGGAAAGGTCCCTTTCTTGGCTACTTTTGTGGCAGATGCTATTATACTTTTCCTCTTCCCTTTAATAGAGTTGGCAGTTCCTGCTTTGTTCTTCCCTCAGACCCAATGCATGGATCAAGTGAGATCAAAGACACGGATATGGGATGAAAAACTCAGAGCATTGCACAAATCCACTGCCACGTAATTTTACCCTGTAATGTGTTTGAAGCCTGCTTCTAAGATTTTCCTTTCTTTTCCTCCCTGGACTGGACTCATCAGCAGGTTGGCAGGGTGAATGTCATCATTATTGATATGGCCACCAAGAGCTCAGGCCATTAGGAAGCCCTCTATCAAACATTAATTACAGTGCTCACGTAACCTCAAGTGGGGGCTGGATGTCGCTTCTTCCTTGGGCCCAGGAACTATTTCTGGGAAACAGGAAGCCACATGGTGTTTTATCAAACGTTTATGGCTACTGGTTTAGGGGGTGAGTTTACAAGGCTCTGCAGGCTGTGCACTGGGAAATTAAATTGCTTGCATTTTTACTTAGTTCTAATCATGCCACCAGCCATGGGATTTACGAGGCCGTAAAGTCTTGAGCACATTGCTCACTGAAGGCCTTGCTCATGGCTGCCTGCATGGTGTCCTTGACAAGAAGCATTCTCCAGGAGCTCCGGGCTCAGCTGTCCGTTTGTTCCACAAACACATTCTAGGCACCTACTGTGTGCTGGGGGTAGAGTGGTGAGCAGTGCAGATGTGGAATTTGTCCTCTTGTTATCTGCAGCTTCCTAAGGATACAGGCATTGCCAAATAGTTTCACAAATAAATATAAAATTGCCAGCTGGGGTTAGAGGAGTGATGGAAAGGTTTAAGATGCTATGAGAAGCCACAGAGGTTGAATGGTGTTTCCCTCTGAGAAAAAAGGTATGTCCATGTCCTAACCCCCAGGACTTGTAAAAACAACCTTATAGAAAAGGCCTTTCTAGGTGTAATTAAATTAAGCATCTTGAAATGAGATCACCCTGGATTACTGAGGTGGGCCCTAAAAAATAAGTGTCCTTATAAGAGATAGAAGGCCATGTGAATATGGAGACAGAGATTAGAGTGATGCAGTCACAAGCCACAGGACTCAGAGCCACCAGAACCTGAAAGAGGCACAGAGATTCTTGCCTAGAGCCTCCCCCGCGATCCTAGCCCTGCTCCAGAGACACTTCTGGTCTAGCTGGGGAGGTGAGACTGAAGTGACTTCCTTGTCTGGGGTAAATACTTGGGATATTCGTTGTCTTGTGCCAAGAACATTTAGGACACGGACACACATGAGGAGTTTAAGAGCAGAGGTTTAGTAGGCAAAAGAAAGAGAAAGCAGAACAGCTCTCTAGTGAGAGGGAGAGGCTTCCAAAAGGAAAGACCCGCCTGTAGTGGAGTTTGCCAGATTTTATAGGCAGGCTTGTGGAGGTGGTGTCTGATTTAGGTAGGGACCGCAGATTGGCTGGATCAGGTGTGACGTTTACATAGCATTTGGGGAAGGCTGCCCAACCCACTCTAATCTTACTATGCAAATGGCCCCTCCCCTTGGCTGGCGCCATCTTGTCTGCTCCTTACTGTACACGTGTCTGACAAAGAGAAGGGGAGATGGAGCCACCATCTTGAACATGATTGGCACAACGGCCGGCATCTATGTCTGCCGCTCGATTTTACAGGCTGCTCTTTGTTAGAAAAGAAAATGATTTGGGGCTGATTTTCATTAAAAGGAAAACCTTACCGAGGACTTCTGTACCCTATCTGCCTAAGTAATTTCTTTTTAACTCCTATATCAAGCCTAATCTAGAGACTTATCTAGAGTTTATAGTTGAGCCTTAAGTAGTGTACAGAGATTCACAGGTGACAAAGATGATTGCAGGCTGAGAAAATCAAGTCAATGAGGGCTTCCCAGGGGAGGTGGCCCTGAAGCAAGGGTGTTGATTGGCTTGTAGAGAAACAAGGAAGACGCTGATGTCAGAAGCCAAAATAACCCCCACGTGTGAAAACTCTGCATCATAATGAATGCCTACCGCATGTGAGGCACTTTGCCTTCACTCTCATTCAATCCTCAGACAACTTTATTTGTATCCTCATTTTACAAGTGGGGAAACTGAGGACCATTGAAGTTACACACAGATAGTAATTGGCCCAACTGGGATTGGCAACCACACAGGTACCCCAGGACTCTCAATGTGGCTTCCATCCCTGCTCTCCTCTCCTTGTGACCAGAGCTGAGAGAAGTCCAGGTCTCTGGCTTCTGTTCAGGATGCTTAGAAAAAAAAAATCCACCTTTTAAATCTCTTTCTTTCTGGCTAGGAAAATTGTCCATAAGGAGGTGAAATAGGCCAGGCCAGAAAAAAAAATTATCTTTTTTATGAGGTGACTGCTACTAGTGTGAAATCTTCCTTTCAAGAATAAAATATCAGGCCTGTTGTGGTGGCTCATGCCTGTAATCCCAGCACTTTGGGAGGCCAAGGCAGGAGGATTGCTTGAGGCCAGGAGTTCAAGACCAGACTGGGCAACATGTCAAGATCTATCTCTAAAAAAGATTTAAAAATTAACGGCATGGTGGTGTGTGCCTGTCGTCTCATCTGCTAGGGAGGCCAAGGTGGGAGAATGGCTTGAGTTCAGGAGTTCGAGGCTGCAGTGAGCTGCGATTGCACCACTGCACTCCAGCCTGAGTAACAGAGCCAGACCTTATCACTTAAAAAAAAGAAATCAGGGCAGCCTATCCAACAAATGCTGGCTTTTCATAATTCTAATAACTGTAAAGTAAAATATTAGATTAACCAGTGCTCAGGACTCACTATCTTGCCATTCCTGGTGTGGACTCCCCGTGAAAATGGACAGTGTGCCAAATTGGGGAAGGAGCGTGACCCTTTGTTTTTATTTTCTCTGGATGGAGCTGCCTAAATGCAGTTGACAGAAATGGAAATTTGTTCCCCTGAGAAATTTCACGGCCTCCTGACCTTTGTCACAGCCTGGCCCTGGAGGAGAAGGAGTCAAAGATGGGCCGTGTCAGGCTGCTGCATGCAGGGACTCTGGGGACCGGGGGCAGCTTATTGGGGGGCAGGGGGATGCCAATGGACTCCAGCATTTTCTTTTAGAAACCGGGACTCACCTGCCATCCTCACACATGCTTTGGGGAACAGAGAGGCAGAGTGAACTATTAGGGCTCACTCTGCAGTAGACGCTACTTTATCCCCACAGTGACCCTGTGTGACAAGTATTTATGTGACTCTTTGTCATTCTGCACACCCAGGATTTCTATTTTGGTATCAGAATCTCTGCTTTATCCTAGGACAATTCTCCTCCCCCCAATACAGGTGGCATCAGAGGGATCGTGTCTTAGTTTGGGTCTCCCACCACCTCTCTCCTAGGAAGCAGATCCTAAAACAAGGACTTGAGTGCAAGTGGTTTATTTGGGAGGCAATATCAGATACCAGGGTTGGGGAGAGAAGTGACACAGGGAAGGGCAGGAAGCTGATAAAAGGTGCATCATCAAGCCCATTTCCACTGTGGGCAAGTGTAATTTAATCCCACTGAGGAGCTCAGGGTGACAGTGTAGAATATGCCCCTCAGGGTTCTCCCATTTGAGATGGGGAGTGGAGTATTCATATACCATGTACTGTCCTCTGAGTTATTGATTGAAGGCTGCTCCTGGGGATGCTGCTTCCTTAGAACTCTTTCTGTTGAGGATGTGGGCAAGAGTACCCTCAGGCAAGGAAGCACAGATGGTGGAAGCTGGAAGTGGGGACCGCCCCCCTGTGCAGGGGGCTGGTTGTGGGAGTCTCAGCATCTGCTGCAAACCAGGGCATTGGCTCTGGGCTGGACCAATCAGGGGCTATCTCCCAGGAATTTGGATCATGAGCACAAAGACCTAAAATGATTGGAGTTCACTAATGCCAAGGCAAACATCCCATATGTATTCCGTTGGTTCCTGCCACTTAATACACCTTTCTCTTCCTCCACCTCCCCGAGCTGCCCTGCCCCTGCCTTTCTGGAGCCTGGTGTTTCAGCTTTTCCTTCCATTCTGTGTTTTTTTTGTTTGTTTTGTTTTTTTTTGATGGAGTCTTGCTCTGTTGCCCAGGCTGGAGTGCAGTGGCACAATCTCGGCTCAATGCAACCTGCACCCCCCCCACCCCCCCCACCACCCCCCCCCCACCCCGGGTTCAAGCAATTCTTCTGCCTCAGCCTCCCTAGTAGTTGGGATTACAGGCATGTGCTACCACGCCCAGCTAATTTTTGTATTTTTCGTAGAGACCGGGTTTTGTCACGTTGGCCAGGCTGGTCTCGAACTCCTGACCCCAAGTGATCCGCCTGCCTCGGCCTCCCAAAGTGCTGGGATTACAGGCGTGAGCCACTGTGCCAGGCCGCCATTCTTTTTTTATTCATCCAGTAAGTACTTACTGAGCACCTATTACATTTCCTGCCAATCCATTGCCTGCAACCAAAGGATGCTGGTGGATGCAACATGGCTGCCTCTACACCCCAACACCTACCCGCAAGGGGAGAGTGGACTCATCCATACTCAGGAAATTAGTAGAAATCTGTCCCGTGATGCTAGGGTGCACAAGACATCATTCCTTCATTTTTATAAACAAGGGAAACCTGGCTCAGCCCTGCTCTGAGCTCAGCCCTGCCCTGTTGGCAAAAACAATAACCTTTTTATAACAAACAGAATTCAGCTGCGTGCGGTGGTTCACACCTGTAAACCCAGCACTTTGGGAGGCCGAGGCAGGCGCATCACCTAAGGTCAGGGGTTCAAGACCAGCCTGCCCAGCATAGTGAAACCCCATCTCTACTAAATAGACCAAAAAAAAAAAAAAATAGCCAGGCGTGGTGGCGGACACATGTAATCCCAGCTACTCGGGAGGCTGAGGCAGGAGAATCACTTGAACCGAGGAAGCAGAGGTTGCAGTGAGCCGATATGCCATTGCCCAGGCACTCCAGCCTGGGCAACAAGAGCAAAACTCCACCTCAAAAAAATGAAGACCAAAAAACAGAATTCACTGGAGAGCCATTCAGAGAGAGTTCTGTGTGGTGTTATGACACCATGCGCACCCAGCATGTTTCACAGGGGGCTGTAATTGCCTGTTTAGTTATCCACTTCTCTGGCCAAGCTGTGAGCTTGGGGAGCAGGGGCCGGGTGGGTCTTGCTCATTTCTGTCTTCCCAGCCATGCTTGGCACATAGTAGTTCCTTTATTACTATTTAATGGATGGATGAAAGAATACTTGGATTTGGAGTGAAGCTCTGTGTTGTTCCCTGCTCTGTGACTGCACATAAATTTGGAGCAGAGAAGCTTTTTTGTTTTACCCTGCTCTGTGACTGCAGATAAACCCCTCTCCTCTCTAAGCCTCAGTTTCCTTGCTTCTGGAACAAGCAGGTTGAACTTGATTATCTCTTAGATCCCCTCCAGTTCAACATTCTCTCTGTATTCAGGAGATGGGAGAGGGTTGCACTTACTGCCTTCTTATTATAGGGCAGGGTCATGTGACTAGTCCTATCCAGTGAGTTGCGAGTGGAAATAATAGATGTCACCTCCGGGCTGGAACGTTGCATTGCTGATGCAAGATGCTCCAGAACTCTTTCCCTCTGTCATGGGCCATGGCAACCACCAATGTTGAATCTTGCAAGCAGGGACTTGGAGCAGATGTCCCAGCTGAATGGAGCATAAACAAGAAGTAAACCCTGGTTGTTATAAGTCACTGACTTTTGGGGATTATTTGTTATTGCAGCATAATGTGACCTATCCTACCTGGTGCAGTTACTCTGGGTGGTGTGTGAAAGGTGGGTGTTAAGGGCAAGAATGGAAGCAAGGAGAGCTTGGAGGAGGTTATTTCATTCCTGTGGGTGAGAGACTGAGAGTAATCGCCTGATGCCGTTACTCTGGGTGCTTGGGCAAGGGTAGTAGTGGTGGAGGTGGTGAGAAAGAAATGGATTCAATTACATTTTGGAGCTAAAGAGGCCATCACTTGATAATGAATATAAGGAATAAGAGAATGAAAAATCTACGCTAAGGGTCCCTGTCACTCACCACTTTAAGAGCTTTCGGATCACGAGTTGGGCTGAAAGCTCCTCATACAATCTGATATTAGATAATAAATTCTGCTTGTCTTTGCTCAAGAAATGGGTCTCTGCTTTCATTTTTCAGGGCTAAAGAAGTTCCTGCAAGAGAAGAGTGGGGCCTGGGTCTGCCTTTCCCATTGCCAAGATGCCGTCTGCTGGCAACATCATCCATTATGACTGATCATGGCAAATGCCGGTCAGCTGGCCTCACAGCAGTTGTTAGGAAAATAGTCTTTGGCTTGATTATGTTATCTGGCTTTCCCCAAGGAGGTAAGAAAATAGACCTATATCCCTCTGGCTTTGTGCTTCAAGCTCTCTCACCTGCCTTGTGTATGTCATAGCTCAATCAGAAGATGGCTTTTTAGAATAGCTGCTGCGAAAATGGGTTAGCCAGGGAAAATCTTATTAGAAGGAGAATTGTGTCAGGAGAGAAGAAAGAGAAATGCAATTTAGCGTTGTATGTTCTCATTAAAATAAGCGTGCATCTTTGAAAGGAAACAGCATCATTTAGACAGGACAAAGGGGTGGTAAACCTGGCAATTATCCTGGGGGCCAAGGGGCAAATGTCGTATGGCAAAGGTCAGGTCACCTTTGGGTTTGTGGTTTGCTACTTTCACTGGCTGCCTTTCTCTTTAGAGCTGAGAAGCTGGGTGAAGGTGTCCATTCCAGGGGACTGTGTCTTAGCATTTTGTCCCCAGTGTGCCGACCTGTGCTGTCCAGTGTGGTAGCCACTAGCCACATGGGGCTATTTACATTCAAATTAATTACAATTAAATAAAATGAAAAATTCAGTCTCAGTTGCACCAGCTGCATTTTAAGTCCTCAGTAGCCCCATGTGGCTAGTGGCTGTCACAATGAACAGTATAGATATAGAATATTTCCATCATCACAGTAAGTTCTGTAGGACAAGCTGGTGTAGACTACAGGATGGGGGGACTTAAAATGGAAGACATTCAAACAAGAAAAGTGGGGAGAATCATTATCAGCTCTAGTTTAAGGAGCCCATGTGCTTCTCACCTCTGTCTCTCGCTACCTGGCATACCTGGGCCTTAGAACCCAGATCTTATTTAATCCTAGAGCCACCCCCTCCTCCCTTAATCTCTCTGCAATGTGGAATCTCAGAGGCTACTATGGAGTGGCTCGTTTTGCTAAATATGTATTTACCCAGCAACTTCTACAATCATCACTGGAGAGATGCTTTCCCAGCCGCATAGGCAGTGTTAATTCCAGGCGATGCCGACCTGCTTAGGGCAACCAGATGAGGTAAGTGTGGAGGGATGGGGAGGACACTCAGGGTACCTGCTGGAGTGGCAAGAGAGTGAGGCCAGAGAGACCTGGGGGTGGGGAAAACTGGCTCTGCCACTTAGCAGCTCATTGGCCCCCACATTGTCTCTTCTTGCCCTGATAATCCCTCTCTGAAGCTAGGAAGTTCCTTTAAAATACAAATCAGGGCCAGGCATGATGGCTCACACCTGTAATCTCAGCACTTTGGGAAGCCGAGGTGGGTAGATCGCTTGAATTCAGGAGTTTGAGACCAGCCTGGCCAACATAGTGAAACCCTGACTCTACTAAAAATTCAAAAATTAGCTGGGCATGGTACCACACCTCTGCAATTAATCCCAGCTACTCAGGTGGCTGAGGAAGGAGAATCGCTTGAACCTGGGAGGTGGAGGTTGCAGCGAGCCAAGATCACACCACTGCACTCCAGCCTGGGTGACAGAGCAAGACTTCATCTCAAAACAAACAAACCCCCAAAAAACCCAAATCAGATCATGTCATTTCCATGCACAAATCATGACCATGATTTCCCATTGATTTAGAATAAAATCCAAATTCTACCAAGACCCATAAAGGCTCACAGACTGGGTTCATCCTCTGCTCCTCAATATCATCTTTCTCCAAAACCTTGTGTTTGTATGTTCACGGCTCTCATCCTGCCAGGAATGATTTCCTTGTTTGTTTTCCTGGTTCTTGCCCATAGCGCATCCTGGATTTAAAATTCCTGCTTATTTTATTCCTCACTAGGAGAAGGACATGCTTATTTTATTCCTCACTATATGCCCAGTGTCTGGCACAGTCCCCAGAGACACAGTCCACACTTGTAGAATAAAAGTAGTAATGACCTTGTGCATGATGCTTGACTTCTTGGAACCTCAGTTTTCTCATCTATGAAATGGGAATATATTAGGATGATTTTGTAAGGTTATTATAAGGTAGAAACAGAGTTGTAAAAAGTGCATTGTGCATAGTAGACATTCAAATTAGCAGTTACTATGATCATTATTATAAAGTTGCAAGTTCAATACAGATCACTTTTTTTTCCTCCAAAGCCATTTCAAAATAAGTTGTCAAATCGATGCCCTGTCACCCCTGAATACAGTAGAGTCTATTTCCTTAAAATAAGGACATGCTCTTAGTGATCATGGTAAAATTGTTAGGTCAGGACATGAATCCTGCAACATTACACCCATCTAATCCTCAGACCCCATTCACGGTTTCCTATTTGTGCCAATAACGTCCTTTCCAGTGAAAGGATCCAGTTCAGCATCTACTGTTGTGTTTAGCTGTCCTGTCTCTTGGATGTCCTCCAGTCTGGAGTGTTCCTCAGTCTCTCTTGGACTCTCGTGATGCTTTTGGAGGGGACAGCCAGCATTTTGTGGAATGTCACTCTGTGTGGGTGTGTCTGATGCTCCCTGGTGAATAGATTCAGGTCATGCATCTTGGGCAGGAATAGCATGTGAAAGACGTGGCATCCTTCTCATGGAACCCTGTTGGATGGCATGTGATTACTGCTGGCATTCACTCTGGTCACTTAATTGAGGGGCCCTCCCCACAGGGGACTTCTCTCCACTCTAAAATTACTCTTTCTGTCTTCGCAGTATTTTTTGTGGGGAGGGTCTTTGAAATTATGTAAATATCCTATTCAGTATCAAACATTTACTTTATTCATTCATTTATTTATATCAGTATGAACTCATTCCATGCTAGTTTTTTGAGTGGGCTGTAATTCATTACTATTCTCATTTATTTTGATTCTCAAATCACGTCATTTTTGGCTGGTGAGAGCCACTTCAAGCTGGTGTCTGTGTCCCTTGATGTGACCCCTATGATACTTTGAATGTTTTCTTGCTTTCTGGCACAAGATGTTCCAGTTATCTTGTTTTTTCCTGGAGCCAGCCTTGGAATCAGCCATTTCCCTAAAGTGCCTTGATTCAATTTAGTGGAGAATATCTGGAAACAAAGATATTGGTGTAAAGTATGTTTATAGCTATTAGGGCAGCACTGATTCCAGGTCCTCTTAATGTGCAAATCTAGGGAGTACATGTGTGTGTGCACACATGTATGTGTATGTAGATATACACATGTACAAACATGTTTACATCTATATTTATTAGATTTTTTTCTCCATATTGGAAACCAGAAAGTCACGTTAATACACCTCTGACTCCAATCCATCACCATAGAGCTCATTCTGGTTCTCTTCCTTTCCACATTTGTGACTCCTTTCTCTGACAGTGAGAAATCCATTTATACTCAGTGGTCAATGTAACGATTCTCCTGTTTCAGCTGCCACCCCTTCCATGCATGGACACCCTTGTCACCCTACCTGTGCACTCTCATCCCATCTTGGCTGCACCCAGCATGGGCTCTGATGACTGTTATTATTGTTATTGTTGTTGTTATTTTCATCCTTGGTGGGTTGGTGGGGCAGTGGAGTGGATGGGGTGCTTATGTCATTTAAGTCACCTGCCCTTATTTGGCCAAAGGGACCAGGCCTGGAGGCTAGCAGGTGCATTTTTTTTTTAATATTCATAGAATGCTTCTACGCAGTCCCTCTAAGAGGTCAAAGCAATTTAAAAAATCCTTGATAATTACCCAACATTCCAAAATTGATGGCTGATTCCAAGTGCTGTGTGTTTTATTCTTTCACCTCCTCCGCAGAAATCAAAGGGAGGAAAAGTAAGTAGCAGCTGAAATGATCCCCCACTCACTTTCTATAAAGAGGAAAATTAGCTGCTCTAATAATCATGAATATTAATGTATAGCCAATTTCACTCAATTAAAATGATGATCTATAATTTTGCCTCGGAGCTTTATGGAGACCATTTCAATGACTACTGAGTAGAAGTTGGATGCTTTTTAAAGTTCATGGGTTTGGCTTAACTCTCCCATCCCCATTACTGGCTTCCATGTAGGATGGACCCCAATTCCTTCCTTGGCCAAATTTCTCAGCTTTTAGAGAATGCATTCTTTCTATTTTTAGGGTCCAGGATCTATCATTGCCACAGTGAGTTTATGAGATCTCGCACAGCTCACATTCATTCCCATCTTCTTGAACACTGCTTCTCGCACCTCTCTGATCCACAGGGTCCCTGGATGTGTACCCACTGGCCACATGTGTCCAGTGAGGTCCCACTTTCCCTATTCATAGCAAATTAGCTAAAGGGGAAACACCTCCCCATGTAGAGTCTTTATCCTGGGAATTTGGGATTGGGACTAAGACGGATTAATGCCAGAGGGATCCTTCCCTTCCCTTCCCTTTCCTTCCCTTCCCTTCCCTCCCCTCCCCTCCCCTCCCCTCCCCTCCCTTCCCCTCCTCTCCACTCCTCTCTCCTCCCCTCTCGTCTTCTCGCCTCTGCAGCACAGTCCCTGCCTTTTATACTTTGTCTTCTGTAGAAGTTGAGGATATGGTGTAGCTACTGACTTCATTTTTTCTCCTGCTCCTGGCTCAACCTTTAACTTTTCAGGGAGCTCTCCATGGTCCTGAAGTTAGTTCTAGGGCTCTGCAATAGAATTTCCTTATTGGCATCTTTTGGGTGGTTCCTTTTCAAAGGGAGATCACATAGAGTGCAAGGTCTCCACCTCCTACCTTGAAGTTCTCCCAGCCTTTCCTCTTCTTGATGGAAAAAGAATACCCATTTCTTGTTTCCACGCCAAGTTGCTAGTGCACCAGTTTCCATGACAACAGAGAGTGGGGAGTTAAAGGCCAGCCTCTCATTTATAGCAGAATTAAAAGCTACCCTCTTGGAGAGTGAATAATGATCTCAGGAGGGTCCTGGAAATTGAAAAGCATTGGTTTTTTATTTATCCATCCACGTAGTATGGGGCTCTGAGGGAGAAAATATGGGGGTGGCGGGGGAGTTTCTGTAAGGGCTTTTCATGGGGAGAAGCGTATGCAGTAATGATGTTGGCAATAGCAATGATAACACCTCGCAGGGTCTCCACATTTTAAAATCTGTGGCAGCCACTTTAGACCCTCAATATAGCCTGTGGATTTGATGCGGGAAGAAACTGGGACTTCAAGTGAAGAAGTGATATATGTGCCCGTTTCATGCTGTCTTTTTAGTGCCTGGAGCATCTCACTGCCTGACTGGGACTTCCCCAGCAGTACCTAAGCAGTGACTCTCCTCCTCATCAAAAGGTACTGGTGCTCTGTCCCATTCCTCCCCATCCCTGATAACAATGGCACCCCGAGAAGCCTGTCTTAGCTAGACAGCAATAGTGAATTGAAGGTTTACTCTCTCAGGCCAAGTTTACTGGTGACTCCAATGGCTAAAGAGCTGACACTTTGTCTGATTAGAGTTTGGTTATGGGTGCTTTCCCCCATTCTGCTTACACAAAGGGCTCCTTTTTTTCATTGACGTTGGGGCACTAGTTTTATGCTCTGTATATCCTCAGGACAATCCTAGGAGGCAGGTACTATTATTATCCACATTTTACAGTTGAAGATATGACTCAGAGAGGCCATGTAACTTGTCAGAGTTCACACTGCTAGGAATGCGAGAGCTGTGATTGGAACCCAAGTCACCTGACACTTCGGTAGACATGAGTATCAAGTCCAACAAGAGCCAGAATAAGTCCCCCAAGGTACTCAGCTTGCTTGAAGTCCAAGGACACTTCTGAGACTTAGTTAGGGTTAATTTCAAAGTTGTCTCCTTAATTGGGAGGGTTTGGATTGTAGAAAGGCTCATGGGGAGAAGGGCTTTGGGTTGGGTTCATCTAGGAACCGTTGCCCAGCACAGGGTGAAATGCAGCTGGCTGGGCAATAAATATAGAAGCTTCACAGTCGCAGAAAAAAATCCCTCAGTTTCATGCTTTTCCATTCTGGGAGGGCCTGGTAGCATCTTTAGACGTATCTCCTCATATACTAGAGGGCTGGGTGGCAATGTCAGTCTGCAAATTTATGTTTCAGAGACCCAGAGGTGTGATCTGGGTAAATAATTAGGGTCATGCTATCATAAGAGGTTAGGATTATCGAGTCTCAGAGCTAAGTGGGATCTTAGAAATAGCCAAGTCAAATGTATGCCAAGGTTTTATTGTGTATACCACCAGGGATACATAAGATGATTTAGTTGTTGTATTAGTTAGGATAAGCTTATGAATGCAGTAACAAGCAAACCCAGAAGTCTCTGTGATTTTAGACAATCAAGCTTTGTTTCTCTTACATAAATTCTGTTGGGAGTCAGTCAACCCTCTATGGTGGTGGTCCCTCATGCAATTACTTAGGGACTCAGGCTACTTTGATTTTTGTGATGCTGCCACCCCACATGTAGCTTCTAGGTCATGAAGGCACAGAAGAGAGCTGGTAGGCTGCACATGTTGCCCAAAACATGACGACAGATGCAGAGGTTAAAAATCTTTGCTCTATGATTGGCTTGTTTAGCATTAATTTTTGATTGGGTTGTAAAATATAAACATTTGTGAGATTTAGAAGATTAAGATCATTTTGATAGTATTATTTACAGACTTTAAATATGTGGCTATCACATGTCTGTGCAGGGGAATAAGTACTACATAAATAGCTTAAATAGTTTGCATCAGCGAAAAAAAATCTTTGCTCTAAATAAGAACTGACTTGGCTGGGTGCAGTGGGTGGTGGCTCATGCCTGTAATCCTAGTGCTTCGGGAGGCCAAGGCAAGTGCATCACTTGAGGTCAGGAGTTCGAGACCAGCCTGGCCAACATGGTGAAACCCCAACTCTACTAAAAGTACAAAAATTAGCCAGGTGTGGTGGCACATGCCTGTAATTCCAGCTACTTAGGAGGTGGAGGCAGGAGAATCGCTTGAACCTGGGAGGCAGAGGTTGCAGTGAGCTGAGATTGCACCACTGCACTCCAGCCTGGGCAACAGAGTAAGACTCCATCTAAAAAAAAAAAAACCCAAAAAACAAAAGGAATTGACTTGCAAGAAGGAAAGAGGAGGGAATTTACCAGCTAGGGGCTTGAAACCACCCACCTCATTTGGTAGTATATCATAATTACAGACTTTTACTTCCCCTGAGTAGAATCGAAGACCACCTCCAAGATTTGATTTTTTGTCAGCAGGGGAGAAGGTGCCTCAACATTCAGAGGCAGGGAAGATGAGGCATCACTCTGTCCAGTAGAGGGGAGGGAAGCGGATCTTGTAGTAAACTCCCAAAAGGCGACTTGAAAGAGAAACTGATCTCATCCATCTGAAAGATGTAGCCAAAGGCAGAAACACAAATGCATATACAAAGACACACAGATACACTGAGGCAGACACACAAAGACATTCCAATGTGTGCACACACACACATCCAAGCACACACAGGCTCACTCACAAAGATACAGCAACACTCGCTTCCTCTGTGTGTGTGATTCATCTTCCCAAGCTAGGAGGAGATGCTGAAAGGACCTGTGGTCCCATGGGGACCATGAACGAGGCCTGTAGTGTATAAATCTGGGGTCAGCAGCAGAATGGGCTCAACCATCCCCATTTCTTTCTCTCTGGTGCCCTATAAACATCTCCTGGTTCCTGCCCCACCTCCCGGCAGCAATCCTTACTGCCATCTCTCCCAGCTTGTTAGATTTAGGTGCTGGAGTGATTTGTTTCTTTTCTCCAAATCAGCCCTAGAAGCTGCCTAACAGGGGCAAATTCACCATTCAGGGAGCCTGCAGAATCATATTGCTTTCTCCTTCACTGAGAGGGAAAATGGGATTTTTAGGGAAACAGCCATGGTTGGTTTGACTTGATCCCTTTGGCCTCGCAAAGCAAGAGAAAGGGATTTCTGACACAGGGTAGGACTGACCCCATTCCTCAGTTCAGTGTGGACTTCTGAGCCTCTGCTGTGGCTACCCTTGCACCCGGGGCCTTGGGTCCTGGGGTCAAGAAAATTAAGGCAGAAACCAGTTGGTAGACTTCTTGGAGACTTCACTCATCCTATGGCATCCTTGGTGCCAGGAGGTCTCCAGTGTCATGGTCAAGAGCATCAGCTCTGCACTCAGCCTGTCTGGGTCTAAATCTCAGCTCAGCTGGTAAGAGGCTCTATGACCTTGAGCTCATTACAGAATTTCTCTGAGCCTCAGTTTCCCCATCTTTCAAATGGGGATGATAATGGTAGTTCCCTCATGGAACTATCATGGATACATGGCATGTAAAATATTTTAGTACACGGTCACATCCTGGGAGACAGAGTTCCAGAAGTCGTGGCTGCAAGAGTCAGGTAAGAGATACAAACCTGACTCAAAGAGGAACTTCCGTGAAGATGTCACAGCTGCAAAGAGAAAATGACTGCCAGGTCCCCACTCACCTTGTTAGAGGCCCTGGCTGTTCTGAATATGCCATAGCCAGACTCAATGGGGGCCCACGCTGAGCTACAAACAACACTGGCTGTGGTGTGTTGATGGAGGGGTGAGACTGGCCTCAGGGCCTGCTGACTGTTCCTTGGGTGTCTGGGGCCCGGGCATGGATGTTACCTTAAGGAGCACACACCGGTCTCCCTTCTTCCACACCACCCCATCCTCCCTGCCTTTCTTCTCAGAGACTCATTGAGCACCTACTTTATTCCATGTGCTTGAACAAAGTAAACCTGGCCTCTGCCCTGATGGTGTGTGCCTCATAGTCTGGGAAGATAGACAATCAACAAATAAGCAGAAAGGTGAGCAAGATGATTCCTGATGGTGGTAAGGCCTCTCCAAAGAAGCGACATCTGAGTTGAGAGGAAAGGAGAAGGAGCTGGCTGTGCAGACACCTGGAGCCCATTTCCACAGTGAGTGGGAATGGCAATTGCAAAGGCTGTGGAAAGCAGGAGAGAGCTGGGAGTTTTGGTGTTTTTGTTGTTGCTGTTTTGGGACAGGGTCTCACTCTGTCACCCAAACTGGAGTGCAGTGGCACAGTCAGCTCACTGGAACCTCGAACTCCTGAGCTCAGGTGATCCTCCCACCTCAGCCTTCTGAGTAGCTGGGCCACAGATGCATGCCACCACACCTGGCTCATTAAAAAAATTTTTTTTAGAGATGGGATGGGGTCTTGTTATGTTGCTCAGGCTGCTCTTGAACTCCTGGCCTCAAGCGATTCTCCCGCCTTGGCCTCACAAAGTGCTGGGATCATAGCTGTGTCCAGCCCAGAGTCTTAAGTTTCACAGGGACAGAAAGAGGAACAGGGTAAGTGAAGGAGAGGGGTTGCTGCAGGAGATGAGTTTGGAAGCGTGAAGAGATCGTGTCCTGCCTCATCGACCAGGGTGAGAAATGGAGGTTTTATTTTAAGTGCAGCCAGAAGTCATTTGCTAGAGGCTCCAAGCTGGGGAGAAAGACACGATCCAGTTTATATTTTAAGAGGAAGGCTCCAGCTGCTACATGCAAAGACCTGTGGAGGGGCAAGATGGGAGCTGGGAAGGCAGAGAGGAGGTGGCTGCAGGAACCCTGGTGCCTTGGACAGAGGTGACCGGAGTAGAAAGGAAAAAATGAATTCTCAATACAGTTTGAAGGAAGAGCCAACAGGACTTGCTGACAGATTGAATTGGACTGGGTTAAGGGTGACAGATTTGAACTTGTCTGTTTCAATTTAGGCCTGATTCTATTTTCATATTAACCTTCTTGTGATGATTAATAGGATTGCTCCTTGGGATTCTGGAGGGCAGGTGGAACGAACTGCAATGGAGACTCACTCCTTCCTCAACTCACAATAAAGGGATGTCAGAGAGCTGGGTTGTAGCCCTGTCTCTGCTACCAACTTGATGAGTGGTGTCGGCTAAATCACACCCCCCCTCCGCGCCCCATCCTGGCTCCAGTGTCCTCACTGTGAAATGTGCATGGTCTTGGTGTCTTCGCAGAGGGAAGGGCTGAGGAGGGCTGGACTTGATGTACCATAAATGTTCAGAGAGTAGAAAGCAGTGACAAAGAAGTGCATGTGGTAGGGTTGTATTGGGAAGGGTCTCTTTGCCGCCTAATAATTCCCCTCCCCTCTCTCTCCTCCTTTCCCCTCCCCTCCCTTCCTCTGTCTTTCCCTTCCCTTCCTCTCCTCCCCTCCCCTCCCCTCCCCTTTCCTACCCTCCCCTTCCTTCCCCTCCTCTGCTCTCTCCCTGCCTTTCTTCCCCCACCTTGGTTCTGAGGACCCTTCTCTCCTGTGCCAGATGGTGCCGACACAGAGCCAAGGATGAAAGCACGCAGATGCATTCTGCCCAATCCTGATCCCTGGTCTCTGAGAAGTGATGAGACTGGGGCTGGGGAAAAAGGAGGTTGATTTGGAAGACCGTTCTGAGCAGGGAAGGATGGTGTGGAGGCCTTTGGGAAGTGGGAGGGGAATGGGGAGGGCTTCCATCGTGATCACAGAGGAGAAGGGCCAGGGACTGAGCAGTGAGCTGCCCTGGAGGGCACCTGGCTTCTGACCCATCATTTGTGAACAAACCACCATCCAACCATCCTGCCAACTCTCCACCCCATGAAGAGAAGGGGAGGGGCTTGGACACCTTATAGGGAGAGGGAGAGAAAGGGTAATCTTGTTCCCTAACCAGTGGGGAACTGATCAGGACCACTGGAAATTTTCCCATGAGCTGGGGCAGAAAGGGACCCTCTGTCACTGTTAGATGTCTATACCCAGCTGTCCCACCTGGGGAGTCTTTTCTTTAGACATCCATGAAAGTACAGTGATGTCCAAGGATGTTTAGTGAGTCTCCTCAAATAGGATGTTAGGAGACATCCTATCAGTCTGAGACTTGTTGATTAAATTACATTATAGCCATACTGTGGAATATCACACAGCTATTAAAAAGGACAATCTCAATCTCTGTGTCACCCTGAAGGGAGATTCTTAATACACAATGAAGTGAAAAAGATGAGTTGTAGAATCATGTGTATAGTTTCTCTCTCTCTCTCTCTCTATATATATATATGTATATGTATATATATATGTATATATACGTATATATATATATATATATTTTGGTAAGTAAAAAAAGACATAGAGGGCCAGGTGTAGTGGCTCATGCCTGTAGTCCTAGCACTTTGGGAGGCTGAGGTGGACAGATCACTTGAGCCCAGGAGTTTGAGATCAGCTTGGGCACCATGATGAAACCCCGTTTCTACAAAAAATACAAAAATTAACCAGTTTCATAATCAAGTCTCAAAATAAATAAATAGATGAACATTTTTTTAAAAAAGCATAGAGAAGGGAACTCTACAACAATCTATTAACATTGCTAACTACAAGGGGTTGGAGTTAGAATGGAGTGGGAGAGATTATTGATTTTTTACTTTACTTTGTTGTTTAGCATATTGCAATGCATGCGTTACTTCCATAATTAAGAAAATCTAATACACATTTTTATAAAAATTCAAGGTGTCCTCAGATATGTTCAAGCCCAAAAGAATCTTATACCTGGACCCCCCAGTCCCTAGCCCCTGGTAAGTATTTGCAAAAAATGTTGGATGAATGATGAAATGAGGAAGAATGAAATGTTTAGCTCAATATCTCATTTCTTGGATGGTTTGTAAAGCTTTCAATAAAACAGGAGCCTTGAGGCAGTTGGTCATTAATGAATAACTCATCATCAGAGGTCTGGATTGAATATTAAAGCAGTCCCAGCAGTCAACCGTGCCCCTTGTTAAACATGGTCCCTGCTGCAACTAGTCTAGGTCCAGGCTCATATTCTAGCTGACAGCTTGGAGAGGAGTGATAGTCATATTTCCTCACGTAACCATCCTCATTTTTAGGGTTGACAGTTCTGCTGCTGCAATGACAGGGAGGTGGGTGGGTGAGTCCTTTGGGTGTTGCTGGGATGTTAAGTCCTGGGGTTGTGACTGGGGAGAGTGATGTCACCCTTGATAATTTCTGTAGACTCAGGCAGAGCGGCTCACTAAGATAAAAACCTCTTATAAGTAGGTTTTTCTTTCTTTTTAGTAAACAGGTTGCTCATCACTCTTCGACAGCTCTGACCCCTTGGCTGCAGAGTGGGTGCTGGGTGTTGGGAGAGGGGCATGCATGGAGGTCCTTCTTATCCCATGTCTCATCTGATTTTTCTTCAGTCTCCTCCTCCTCACTTTCAGAGCAGAGAGTCCTTATGCGCCACTGGGACTCCCCATGCCCTTCCCTGTCTGTCCGTGTCTTGCTGAGCCAGGCAGACTCCTCGCTTTCCAAAGTGACAGTTCATTTTCAGATTCCCTGTTCACGTTTCCATTTTGCAAGTGACAGAGACCAGTGTGTTATTCCTCTTAAGTAGTGTAGCAGGAGCCTCTGGGAAGGAAACGTTTAGCCAAATGACTGACTCTAACGGAGAATTTTCAGGTATTTTGGTAGACCAAGGGATAGAATAATTTAGGGATAGAATAATTTAGGAATAGGTTGAAGTTCCTGTTGCTAAATGACATTCCCCACCCTCCACTCCCCCGACTTTTTTTTTTTTGGAGACAGAGTCTCACTCTGTCACCCAGGCTGGAGTGCAGTGGTATGATCAGGGTTTACTGTAGGCTTGACCTCCCGGGCTCAGGTCATCCTCCCACCTCAGCCTCCCAGGTAGCTGGGACCACAGATGTGCACCATCATGCCTGGCTATTTTTTTTTTTTTTTGTATTTTTTTGTAGAGACAGGGTCTCACCATGTTGCCCAGGCTGGTCTTGAACTTCTGGGCTCAAGCGATCTCCCCAGTTTGGCCCCCCAGAGTGCTGGGATTACAGGTGTGAGCCACCATGCCCGACCCATTTTCCCCCTTTTTATAAAAGCGATAAGTGTTCAATTCATACCACTTGCAAAACGCAGAAAGACACAGAAAATTGAACAGCACATTCCTCCATAATCCCTTTAGTCAAGATGACTCATCGCAACAGATACACACACAGTGTAAATATATATTTACAAAAAATATACTTTGTATATTCTTCTGTAGCCAGTTCTTTTCACTTAGCAATATCTTGTGAGTATAGTCCCATAACTATAAATATTCATCTATACTGTGAGTTTTTTTCCAGTTGGAAAAATTTCAAACAACGCAAAACATAAAAAACAATTAAGATCTCTATTATTGCCATCCTCAGGGATAACCATTATCACTTTAAAAATATTCTCTTGCCTTTTTTTCTATGCGTATGCACACTAGAATCTAATCCCTATACAGATGCTCCTCAATTTACAATATGGATGTGACCCCATTGTGAATCAAGGAATGTACTGAATGCCTATTGCTTTCTCACCATCATAAAATGAAAAAATCAAAGCATCATAAGCTGGGGACTGTCTGCAGTGTCCTGGCTTGCTTTACCTACCCTTGTGTCCTCAGCACCTTGAAGAAGGTCTGGCATGTAGCAGATGCTTGGTAAATATTGTTAAATGAATGCAAAATTATAAATGCATATTTAGTAGGGTTCCTGGAGTAGAATCTGCTTCTACGTTTTTCCCCCAAAGCTTGTAAAACCCTCATTTAAAATGTTACATGTATTTTCTGTTTTCTGGGAAGGGGACTGGAGTTTACCTTTGAGCAGGACCATCCCTTGATTCTGGGTGTGAGCACTTGGTGAGAAGAAAATAAGCAAAATAACTATCCACGGTTCTTGGGGATGCCCTGAAAGCTCAAATACTGAAGCTGCAGATGGAGCAGTTAAGTATTCTAAAGGGAACCTAAAGCAAACTGTGTTTGTTGGTAGAACATGCCCCTGCAGGGTTGGAGCAAAATCTGTTTCTAAACTTAGAGTTTGGCTGCCCCAGGCCTGAACGCACTTGTTTGCTCTTGGGAGACAGGGTGTGCATTCTCATCCAAGCATTTGCTTGCTGGAGTTGAGGATTGAGGACCAGATGGTGGCAGAAGGGATATGCAGGCTTGCTCTTGCTCTCACCTGAGGCTGGAGAGAAGTGCCACGTCTGGTAAGGAGTACCCTGGTCTCCAAGGTTGGTCTCCCTTCCAGTAGTAATGTACCAAATCCAATGAGCAGACTTGGACTTGCCCTCCTGGCCTATGTGGTTGTCTTGTTTGGACTACAGGGTGATGGTGGGATGTCCTTTGGAGGAGAGATGTTCCCATGTTTCTCCAGGGGGTATTGTGGGTCTACTAGACAGGAAGGCTTATTCCCCACTTCTCTTGGTTCAGATGAGCTGGGTGGGAACTTGGAGGTGTGGCAATTTTCCCAGAACATCCTCCGTGCAGGGTGAGTGTTTACGCAGGAAGTTCCAAGTAAAGCGCTTGGATGTTGAGTCTTAGCAACCACTCTTAGCAATAATTTTAAATTAATCTTCACGGTACTATATCTCTCCTCTTATTCTGTTGTCTGTAGTAGCACCCGACAGGCTGAGGATCTATCAACATTTTAAATGCAAATATCCTTTACCCCAGAATTATCACTTCTAGGAATCTCATCTAAAGAAATACTAGTGTGATGGACAAAGAAGCATGTAGCAATGTTCTTTGCAACTTGTGTGCAATAGCATAAAACTGGAAATAAGCAAAGTACTGGACAAGTGGGGACTGTTAGATAAAGCTTGGCATATCTGCACTAGAGTGAGGCCGATCTATGCACACAGACATGGAAGCTTCTCTGACACATATGGCTGAGAATAGAGAACAATCCTATTCATACAAGAAAAAAATCAGTGCCAAAATCTATGTATGTAAATGCACAGAAAAATTCTACAAGTGTGCCCACTTAATAAATGGAGCTGCCTCTAGGGAGGGCAGTGGAATTATATGTGTGGAGTATATATGAATAATGATGGTGGTAATTAAGATGTGACATTTGTTGAGTGCCCACTCTGGGCCAGGCACTGTTGAGGGGCTTTACGTGAATTTACTTGCTCAATGCTAATAATGACCCTATGAGTTGTGATTATAATCCCCATGTTACAGATGAGGAAATAAAGGCATGACTCCAGGGGGTGCTCTATACAAGGAATACAATAGGAATTGTGGCCCTAGAATTGTTCAGCGCAGTGGGACCGTAAAGACATGAGGCAAACGTGCCTGATTTAAGTAAAAGGTGGAGTCAGACCTTGAACTATTACACTCAATTGCCTCTATTTTCCCCTCCTTTAAAGCCAGTTTTTACAGTGGGATTGTTTTTATGTATTATATGTGTGAAACAAATAACTACATCCTGGTCTCACTTGGATATTTGTAAGGGCCTGTATCCCCATGTGGGTGAATGTGAGCCATCCTGCCTTCTGGGCTGGGGGTGGGAGCCGCCCCAGCAGACCACAGCAATGGCACAGCAGGATGTCAACACCAGAAGGACCCGTGGGCACATTCCTGAGCTCAGGTAAAAGGATTCCTGCGGAAACCTCAGAAATAGCTGGGGCTAATTCCAAGCCATTAGGCTGCTGTGGGCTTGCACCTTAATAATTTAGGAGTGACAAGAACTTCTTCAAGGAGTAAAAGACTATTATATAATCACACACATCTCAGGCTAAGGCCTGGGACATGAGGGATTATATAATAATGCTCTATATGGAACAAAAATAGGATTATATTTTGCATTGTGCATGTGAACTGATTTTGTATTCAATATGTCATAAATGCTCGGCAGCCTTTGAAAAAAGATAAGGTAGGTACTAGCTGTCTCCTATGTGCATTGTTGGCCATCCTGCAGGTAGACTGTAATTTGCTTCTCTAATCCCCTAGGGGGCACCAATGTTACTTTCTGAATCTAAACAATGTTGCAGGGACATCCTTGGCCTCCAGTGGCTTCAGTGTGTCTGACTTTCCCAAGGAGCCTGTAAACATGTAGATCCTGGGCTCACCCTGTGTAATAACTACTGCTTAATAACGAATTACCCCCAAACCTAGCAGCTTGAAACAATGACTATTCATTTGTCTCACAGAGGTTTTGAGAGTCAGGAATTAGGGAGTGTCCTAGCTGGTTGCTTCTGGCTTGAGGTCTCTCAGGAGTCAAGATGTGGTTCAGACTCAACTGGGGCGGGAGGATCCATTTCCAAGGCAGCTCTCTCACAAGATCTGTGCTGGCTGTTGGCAGAATCCAGCTCCTGGACCTGCAGAATTCTCTATAGGGTTGCTTGAGTGTCCTCATGACATGGCGGCTGACTTTCCCCCACAAAGAGTGACCCAAGAGAAAGCAAGACAAGGCTTTTATGACTTAACCTCAGACGGCGCTCTGTCATTTCTGCAATATGCCATTGCATTAGTTACAGAGGCCAGGCCTGTTCAAGGTGGGAGGAGACTATAACAAGGTGGGTGTGAATACCAGGGACACAGCGGGAGGCCGGAATCACTGGGAGTCATCTTAGGAGATTTCACAGGTGTGAGTGGAATGCAGGGATCCCACCCTCCCCCCTACTTTTTTTTTTTTTCAGAGACGATGTCTTGCTCTGTTGCCCAGGCTGGAGTGCAGTGGTGTGATTATCGCTCACTGCAGACTTGAACTGAGGCTGGATGCCACAGCTTAGGAGATTCTGATTTTGCAGGTGTTGAGTGGAATGCAGAGGTCCTGTCCCACCCACACCCCTTGCCCAGCTAATGCCCCCCTAACTTTTTTTTTTTTTTTTTGAGATGGAGTCTCACTCCATTGCCCAGGCTAGAGTGCAATGGCGCGATCTCAGCTCATTGTAACCTCCGCTTCCTGCGTTCAAGCGATCCTCCTGCCTCAGCCTCCCGAGTGGCTGGGATTACAGGTGTGTGCCACCACGCTGGCTAATTTTTGTATTTTTAGTAGAGACAGGGGTTTCACCATGTTGGCTAGGCTGGTCTTGAACTCCCGACCTCAGGTGATCTGTCTGCCTTGGCCTCCCAAAGTGCTGGGATTGGAGGTGTGAACCACAGCCTAATGCCCCTTGTTAACAGGTGCCCAGGGTAATCTGTTGTGGGCACTCCGAGCATATATTTCAGAAGATATCTGTATGTCTATGATTGTTCACATCTCTGATTATTTTTTTTAGGGTAAATGTCCAGAAGTGGATTTTCTAGGTGAAGGGGACACCCTAGCATAATGCTATTGGTATCTTCTATCACTCCGTTCTCTAGAGAGGGGACCTCAGGCTACACTCTGGATATGGAGCCTTGAAATGCCCTTCAACCACACTGAGTTGACTATGGCAATCCTGTTAGCCTGTTTTTAGGATGTGGGTTGGACAGGAAGAGGTGACTAGAATGACAGGGCAGAATATATTTTGCGTTTCTTGCCTGACATCAGCAAAGCACTGAGGTTGGTGGCAGCGGTGAAGTTGTCAACCAGAAAAATGCATTAGCTCAGCACAGATTTACTAACTCAGTCTTCAGTTCCTCTTTAAGAGGGGCTGCAAATGGGCTCCTGAAATTTGCTTGCCCTGGGATGTGGGAGCGAGGGGACAGGAATGCCACTGGTATCTTTGGTTTGTGTATACAGTAGAAGACTTTGAACAATCCCGAAAAAAACTCATTGGTCTATAAATGGACATTTACAGAAAAGACCCTGGGCAGACTTCACTTTGGAGTCACACAGATGGAGAGTTTGGGTCCCAGCTCCTCCTTGTTTGATTAGGAGAACTTGGGTGTTACTTGGTTCTCTGAGCCTCGGTTTCTTAGTCTATATAATGGAGGTAATTATTACAATGTGTGTGTATAACTTTGAGATGAAAAAAGAGTAAAAAACCCAAATAATCACATTGGGGGTCATTTTGAAAATCAAATGATAGCTGGGGATCCTGCAGGGGCATCAGTTGTGTGTGGCCCTTCTGCTGGTATCATCTATCTGATGTATTGAGCTAGCTTTCCCGACCTCTGACTTAATGTGGTGTAGATTAACCCCATTCCTGGCTCCCTGGGTAGGCGATTTTGTTATAGGAAAGGGGTCCCAATAGAGACCCCAAGAGAGGGTTCTTGGATCTCGCGTAAGAAAGAATTCAGAGTGAGTCCATAGATTAAAGTGAAAGCAAGTTTATTAGGAAAGTAAAGGAATAAAAGAATGGCTGCTCCGTAGACAGAGCAGCCCTGAGGGCTGCTGGTTGCCCATTTTTATGGTTGTTTCTTGATGATATGCTAATCAAGGGGTGGATTATTCTTGTCTCCCCTTTTTAGACTATATAGGGTAACTGCCTGTGGTTGCCATGCCATTTGTAAACTGCCATTTGGGGCTTTCACAGTGGGAGTGTAGCAGTGAGGACGACCAGAGGTCACTCTCGTCGCCATCTTGGTTTCAGAGGGTTATAGCTGGCTTCTTTACTGCAACCTGGTTTATCAGCAATGTCTTTAAGACCTGTATCTTGTGCCGACCTCCTATCTCATCCTGTGACTAAGAATGCTTTAACCATCTGGGAATGCAGCTCAGTAGGTCTCAGCCTCATTTTACCCAGGTCCTATTTAAGATGGAGTTGCTCTGGTTCACACGCCCCTGAAGATTTTAGCTTTGGCCAGTCAGAGGACTTATTGCATCCCAAGCCACAACAAGGTTCAGGGAAGGCACATGACTCCTGCCCATCCAATCAGAGTGAATTCCAGGACTTGTGAGAGATATCCTGATAAAGAGGCATTCTTCTTCTGCTGAGGGTCTGAGCTAGTGGGATGTAAGCCAGGAGCTGCTGTCATTTATTTTGTTATGCTGGGGGAAACACGTACCTGAGAGTGAAGCCAACAGAGACAAAAAAGAGAGAAGAACCAAATCTTGATTCTGTCTTTTTAGCACCTGGATCAAGCTGCACCTGAACTTTCAAGTTATACCAGCCAGTAAATCCCCCTTTAGGCTTAAATCAGTTTGATTTGAGTTTCTGAAACTTTCAGTCTTGCATAGTAACAAATGAGGTAAAATTTGGGGCTATGTGAAAGCCCTAAATAGCAGCAAATTATCTGTGTTAAATTTCCATGCATTTGTTACCTTTGCTGGGGATGAGGCAAGGTTATATTTTCCTGGGTCACTCTCTCATCCCCTTGGGAAAAGGAACTACTTGTGTTCATTTTGAAAAGCCAGACATTTGGCCACTCCTAGAGACATAACATAAACTCTGTTTCTCAAAGCATGAGTGTGTCTCTAGAATGGAATATCTTCTCTGCTTACTGCTTACACTCTTCAGAAATTAACGTGTCTCTTTGTAATTCACAGAAAAAATACCCCAACAAAACCCTGAATGAATAGAATTTATAGTTTTGGCTTTTTCTTTCATCCTTTTCTCATCAGATCATTGGCTCTTGCTACTAGCTTATATTACAATTTGATATGATAGTTGATTTAGCACAAAATTTTATGTGACAGGATAATTCATTGCAACACCATTAATTTGTGTTTTGTTTTGTTACAGGAAAAGACTCAGAATGGATGGAAGTTGTTTATAAATTCTCCTCTGCTGCATACTGTTAAGAAGGGGAAAGAGGAGTGCTGGGTAGGTGGACATGCAATGTCTGCTACAAGTGGTACTCAATAAATGTTTCTTTTACTCTTTCCTCTTCTGTCTTGTTAGAACATTGCAAAATACTAGAAGAGCAGTTATCTGCAGGCAGAAGAATTCTCCCAGGGTCCATCAAAACCTACTCCATAGCCAATGACCTAAATATGAAGCCTGTGGATTCACATCAGACAGAGGACTGGTAGATGAGAGCTTTCGGGGCTGCTGCAGGAGTGCATAGGCTCTGACTCCATTACCCATCACAGAATGTTACCATTCAAAGATCAGTGATGTACATCCTAGATAATACTGGCAGCCAGGAGCTGCAGAGCCCAGTTCCAAGAAGGCACTCTGTAATCTCAGGGAACTTGAACCATTCTGTTTGCCCTTCAGCTTGCAGCCCTTGGCTTATGGCTCAAAAGATAGGGAGATGAGTGACTTTGAGGAGTGGGGAAGAGGCACAAACAATGAGTGAGGAGGGAGATCCCTCAACACCAGTGGGGTAGGAGATCGGCAGATGCCTCAATCCACTCTCTCATGGGATCCTGGGGAGGTGGCTGGACCCCCACTGGTGGTCAGGATGGGGAGGTGTGGAATGGCTGGGGTATGCTGAAAGAAGCTGGACCCTGGGTACTGGGCCCCCCAGCCTCCACAAAGATTCCTGTGGCCAAACTTAATGGATTCTGCAGAGTTGGATTATAAACTCACCAGTAAGGTCATGGGGAACTGAAGTCCAGACCTTATCCTTTGTTTCCTGGCCCCAAGTTAAACCTCTCAGATTCTAATGTGACCTTAGGGAGGTCGAAGGACCACCTCAAAACAGGGAGATTGATTTCTTGCCAACTCCATAGGTTGGGGGCTCAGAGTTGATTGGAAAATGAGCATGGCATTTATTACACATTTCCTTTTGCAGGTGATGTTTTATAAGCATAACTATTATTTATTAGATGTTTACTAGTGCCACACACTGTGCTGAGTATGTTAACTTGCAGTATTGACTTTACCCTTCAAAGCAACCCCAAGATATTAGATATTATTTGCTACAAGTAATTTACATTTTGTAGATGAGGAAGCTTGAGTCTTAGAGAGATTAGCTTGCTTGCTGTAGCATATGTTGTTGATGCCCCTTCAAGCCCCACTCCTACACCCTTGGGTTTTACCATTTCCGAGGCCACGGGCAGAACTTCCATCTCCTAGCATTGGCAGCACTTTGCCCAAGGGCTCTCTTTGGCCACCAGATCCCCCATACATAATAGGCCAGAAGTGCAAGGGGGTTAATGCCTCTGGCAGCATCCCTTAAATAATAACATATGGGAGTTGGAGTATTAATACCCCAGTTCCCTTGCTGCTTGGATGAGTTACCATTGAGGCAGTGTTTAACATTGGTTCTCCAGCAGAATTCATCTCCAGTGACAGCTTCCTTGATACACACCCTTTATTTGTTCCTCCTCTTCCCCACTCCCCTGTGGTGCTTCCTGAGGTCACTTTCTAAATCAACTATGTGCACTTGAACCCTTGTCTTAAAGTAAGTTTCTGAAGGATCTTCAACTAAGACACTTGCCCATGGTAAGTTGCAGAGCTGGGATCTAAATCCTGTTCTGCCTATCTCTAATTCCTGTGCACTTAGTCTTTGCGCTAGAAGTTTCTTTTAAGCATGATATACCAGCATTTTGAGTGTCTGCAAGGACTCCATGATGTACAAGTTCTCTGCCACTTGGCAAGCTTGAAAGCAGTGATCTCAGATATGTGTATGTGAAGTGAGTGGGAACTACATAGACCCCTGATCTTATTTACTATGGAAGTGTCAGGGAGAGCAGCTTCCATAAGCCAATGTCAGGGTGGAATTCTTCTGCTCTTTGGTGGGAAAGAGGAGGGAGGAGAGTGCTGTTCTGAGGAGGGGTCTATGTGCTGATGTTGAGTCTAGTTAGCATGCTGCTTGAGTACATCTCCTCCAAGCTGGCCATCTCTCAGCTGGGCGATAAAGTAATTTGACTAGGGCTGTCTTCCAGGCTAGAGCTCCTGGAGATTGCTCCCCATTTATCATGGAGGAAAAATCGGGATCCACAGCTCCTGGCTTGCCAGCATCATCTAGCCTGCACGTCATTGATCTTTGAATGGTGAAGTTCCGTGATGGGTAATGGAGACAGAGCCCGTACGCTCCAGCAGCCACAAAATCTCTTCTCAAACCAGTCCTCTGCCTGATGTGATTCCACAGGCTGTGTGTTTACTCATTGGCAATGGGGTAGGAGTTGATGGACCCTGGGAGGATTCTTCTGCCGACAGATGCCTGCTCTGCTGATTTGTCGTGATGTATCTCAACAGAGAAGGACTGGGAGGAGGGAAGAAAATGTGTTTTGAATACGACTGCAGTGGAAGTTGTATGCTTGCCTACATGCAGGGATCTGTAACCTTTTTTCTGTAAAGGCCCCAGTAGTAAAGATTTTTGACTTTGCAGCCATATGGTCTCTGTTGCAACTATTTAATCCTGTCATTGTACCACAAAAGCAGCTATAGACAAATGTATAGATGAATGACTGTGGCTAAGTTCCAATAAAACTTTATTTACAATAGCAGGCTGGGTTTGGCAGGCCAGCTGACTCTGGCCTACAGCACCCACCCTCTCTTACCCTCTTTCCTTATACGACCTGATTTTCATATCATCCCTCTCTTGTATCCCTTGTGCTCCTGGGAGATTGACTCCATCCTCAGTCATCAGGGGTGGATTGTGATTGGTTTAAGCCAATCAGCATTCCATTTCTCTGCCCCCAGACCCCCTCCTCTGGGCAGAGTGATTGATTCAGAAGTGGACAGGTGACTGAAGTCAACCAATCTGACTGAATGTCAAAACTCTTCCTTGTGAGTAGGGAAAAAGGCAATTCATGTCCATAGATTCCATAGGTTTCAAACATGAGACCTGGAGCTACTGCAGCTATTTTGTTCTCCCAAGGAAAGCCTGTTTGTGGATGAAGTCAGCCACAACGAGAAAGTAAGGATTATGAGAATTAGAAGTGAAGAGTGAGCCCTGAGACTTTCCAATTATAAATTGCTTTTAAAAAAATGCCAATTTGTGGCCAGGCACGGTGGCTCACACCTGTAATCCCAGCACTTTGGGAGGCTGAGGTAGGCGAATCACTTGAGGTCAGGAGTTCGTGACCAGCCTGGCCAACATGGTGAAACCCCGTCTCTACTAAAAATACAAAAATTAGTCAGGCATCATGGCACGTGCCTGTAATCCCAGCTACTCAGGAGGCTGAGGCAGGAGAATCACTGGAACCCCAGAGGTGGAGGTTGCAGTGAGCCGAAATCGTGCCACTGCACTCCAGCCTGGGTGACAGAGCGAGACTCTGTCTCAAAAATAATAATAATAATAAAAATAATTACAAAAATTAGCCGAGTGTGGTGATGTGCACCTGTAGTCCCAGCTACTCAGGAGGCTGAGGCAGGAGAATGGCTTGAACCTGGGAGGCAGAGGTTGCAGTGAGCTGTGATTGTGCCACTGTACTCCAGCCTGGGCGACAGAGAGATGCTTCTCAAAAAATAAAAAAATAAAAATAGGCCAGGCATGGTGGCTCTCGCCTGTAATTCCAGCACTTTGAGAGGCCGAGGTGGGCGGATCACAAGGTCAGGAGTTCGAGACCTGCCTGGCCAACATGGTGAAACCCCATCTCTACTAAAAATACACACACACAAAATTAGCTGGCATGGTGGCGGGTGCCTGTAATCCCAGCTACTAGGGAGGCTGAGGCAGGAGAATTGGTTGAATCTGGGAGATGGAGGTTGCAGTGAGCCGAGATCGCGCCACTGCACTCCAGTCTGGGTGACAGTGCGAGACTCCTTCACACACACACAAAATAAAGTAAAATAAAAATAAATGCCATTTTGAGATGAACTTTAAGTACTTAAGAATCTTAATAGGCTTTTTTTTTTTGTAGCTAGACATTATGCTTCACAGATATCATCTAATTTAATAGTCATAACAACTCTATGTACAAGGCTTTCTAATCTCTATTTAGCAGATGCTGAGACTAGGACATAAAAAGATTAAGTGGCATGGTTTGAAGTCACACAGTGGAGATGGTAATGAGTGACCACCTGGAACCCCTCCTGCATTCTCATATTTCAGCATTACTTCCTGCCCCTGGCCACAGTGATTGACGGCTCTTGGAAGAGGCATATGATGCGAGCTGAGCCCATCAGAATCCTTCTCTGGGATTTTTCTTTCTGGAGCTGGAGGAAAAGAGTTCTTTTTCTCTGTTTGTGCATCCCCCTTTCTAGAAATCTTTTTTTCCACCCAAATCTGCAAGATTGTAGAGGGAGCAGCCATTGTTATAGTATAACCCTGCCTCTGGTCACAGTTGATTGTTTTAAAGGAAAACACTTGACCCAAGAAAGACTAATTAGTCCTGTGTTGTTTTAAAAATATATCTGTCAGAGGCGTTTGAATCACAGCGACTCCATCTTGAGTGAGGGCTGGAAAATGAGACTGGGACCTGCTGGGCTGCGTCCTCAGAAAGTTTGGCATTCTGAGCCTCTAGATGTTTACGGTTAAGGGAACAAATTAATAATGTTTACTAACAGACCCAGACTTGGGAGTGTCCAGATATCCTGATATCTGGAGAACACAGGCATTCCTAATTTTGCTTTAAAGATAATAATATCGATTCTTGCAAAATATAGTCATTAAGAAAATTAATCCTCTATCACAAACCCTTGGAGCACATCTCCCCATATATACAAACATTGTACCTAGGGTGGATGTGTTCCTCCTCTCACTTTCAGGAATGTCCTACTCTGTCTATGGAGTAGCTGTCCTTTCACCACTTTACTTTCTTAATAAACTTGCTTTTACTTTGCGCTGCAGACTCACCCTGAATTCTTTCTTACGCGAGATCCAAGAATTGTCTCTTGGGGTCTGTGCTGGGACTGCTTTCCTGTAACATATTTCTGGCGTCCACAGAAGGGACTATAGTGAGGAAACCACTGACTTTGGGTAAGTGGTGGGGTCCTGTAACATATTCACAAGTTCTTTGATACTCCTTCCTTCAAAAGGTGAAGCTCTCCCTTTCATAAAACATGGGCTGAACTTAGGGACTTGCTTTAAATTAATAGAATGATGGTATGTGATGTCTGAGGCTGATCATAAAAGGATAGTTTCTGCTAGATGTTTTCTGTCTTTTAAAAAAATATTTAAATATTGATTTGTTTATTATTTTCAGTCCAAATCTGTTTCAGCCTATGTTCTGTCTCTCAGATCACTCCCTGCAGGTGAAGCCAACTGCCATGTTGTGCAGAGGCTCCAGCCTCCCGTGGAGAGGCCCACACGGAGAGGATCTGCCATCGCCAGCAGGAGCTTTCCAGCCATGTGAGTGACTTCTTCTGGAAATGGATTCTCCAGCCCCAGTTAACAGCATTCCGATTGTTAACCAAAAAGTGACTGAGGCCATTAGAGGTTTATTTAGCCAAGGTTGAGGATGCACCCTGGACAAACAGAAATCGGAGGAGCATCTGTGATCTCTGCTTTTCTCCAAAGGGGGCTTTGTGTGCACTTTGGTTTTTAAAGGAGAAAGAGCAAGGAGTGGGAGGCAGGAGAGGAAGGGAGGGAGATATGCAGTGAGGTAGATGGTTACATTCTTGTGAAGCCCTGATTAGTCTCAATAAATCCAAATTTTAGGCGGGGCACAGTGGCTCATACCTGTAATCCCAGCACTTTGGGAGGCTGAGGCAGGTGGATCACTTGAGGCTGGGAGTTCCAGACCAGCCTGGCCAACATGGCAAAACCCTGTCTTTACTAAAAATACAAAACTTATCTGGTGTGTAGCTGTAATCCCAGCTACTCAGGATGCTGAGGCAGGAGAATCGCTTGAACCTTGGAGGTGGAGGTTGCAGTGGGCCAAGATTGTGTCATTGCACTACAGCCTGGGCAACAGAACAAGACTCTGTTTCAAAAAAATCAGTCAATCAATCAATCAACATTATACATGTGAAAAGAGGGAGTAGAGGAAAAAGTCAATTATGTATTATCTCCCTCTCAGTAAATCTACATTTTACATAAGATAAACATGAAAAGAGGGAGTAGAGGAAATGAGCTCATGGTTTGGGTTGTGAAATTCCAGCTGTCTGTTTGGGAACAAAAGGAAGACAGTATTGGTGGCTCAATTCCCAAGCTTAACTTTCCCTTTGGCATAGTGAGTTTGGGGTCGCATAATTCTATTTTTTTTTTTCATAAGATGATTTCTGGCATGGGAGACACTGAACCATAACCACCCAGCTAAGCTGCCCCTGGATTCCTGACCTGCAAGACATGAAGTGAGATAACAAATGGTGTTGTTGTAAACCTTACCATTTCTGGGTAATTCATTGTGCAGCAGTAGATAACTGATACCAGACCCTTCACTGAGTCTTTTGGGCTTGAAATGGAGAGAGTCAGGCTAATTTGGGATCTGGGATCTCTTGGCAGACATTATTTCCTATCATAAAGATCAGAATGCCAGAAGAAGCCAGTTTCCAAGCAAGAGAGGGCAAAATGAGAGAGGGAGAGTGGGAGAGAGAAAGAGAGAAGAGAATAGAGAGAGAGAAGACTGGGGTGTGTGTGTTATTTCTACCTTTTTTTGGGTGACAAAACCCAGATTTACCTTTGCAGGGATGACTCTTTTCCCACTCTGTGTTCATTTGGTTCGATAGATCTGGCTGCACGCCCTCGCTTCCTGGGTGATTATGTAATTTACATAGTTTTAGCACCAATATGAAGTAGTTTCTGAAGCTAGCCTCCGGGGTTTTCAGTTATCTGAGCCAGTATTTCCTCCCTACTTTTTTTTTTGCTAAACTTGGTTTGACTTGAGTCTCACAAGTGAAAGCGACTTCATTGAAACAGGAGCAGAGAGAAGCAGCAGATAGAGATTAAGAAATTTCTTGAGAATGTACAAATTCCTGGATCCAGCTGTTCCCAAAACCCAGGCAAATCCTGCCTTCAATAACAACAGCCGGACAGCAGCAACAGCAAACATTTATTGAATACTTATAATGAATTCCACCTTTGGCTAATTTAGTTTCTCCCATTCGCAATCAAGAAAGTCTTGAAGAATACAATATCCATTGCAAAAATATCTGGAAAGGGAGATAATGTGCCAAGGGAAGCAAAATAAATCAAGGTTTACAAAAAGACAAAAGTGAAAGATCACGCAAGACCATAACTGTGTCATGTGTAAATTTCACCTAGGCCTTCTCTGTATTTAGGGCACCCTGTGACAGGGACCTCAGCCCCATAGGGAGATCTCAATGGATTAGATGCTAAGCTGATGCAGGCTTGGGGAGTTGCCAGAGAAACCTAAGCAAGGCATACATCTAAAAGCTTTCTGAATAGTTAAAATTAGGTCCTAAATCTATCTTCTTATTAAGAATGACAGGGATGGGCCGGGTGTGGTGGCTCACACCTATAATCCCAGCACTTTGGGAGGCTGAGGCAGGCGGATCACTTGAGATCAGGAGTTCAAGACCAGCCTGGTCAACATAGAGAAACCCCATCTCTACTAAAAATACAAAAAATTAGCGGGGCGTGGTGGCACATGCCTGTAATCCCAGTTACTTGGGAGGCTGAGGCAGGAGAATCACTTGAATCTGGGAGGCAGAGGTTACACGGAGCCAAGTTTGTGCTATTGCACTCCAGCCTGGGCGACAGAGTGAGACTCCACCTCAAAAAAAAAAAAAAAAAAAAAAAAGAATGTTAGGGATGGAAGATGGTGTTGGAAGGGGGATGTTTTTAAATTGAGAAACCATATTCCTTATGTATTCTTTTTTTTTTCTCTTAGGTTTTTTCCTTTTTTGCATAGAATACGAAGTTCAAGTTCTGTTGTTGTTGTCTTTGTTGTTGTTTTGAGACGGAATTTCACTCTTGTTGCCCAGGTTGGAGTGCAATGGTGTGATCTTGGCTCACTGCAACCTCTGCCTCCCAGGTTCAAGTGATTCTCCTGCTTCAGCCTCCCAAGTAACTGGGATTACAGGCATGCACCACCACGCCCAGCTAATTTTTTGTAATTTTTTTTTTTTTTTTTTTTTTTTTTTTTAGTAGAGATGGTGTTTCTCCATGTTGATCAGGCTGATCTTGAACTCCTGGCCTCAGGTGATTTGCCTGCCTCGGCCTCCCAAAGTGGCGGGATTACAGGCGTGAGCCACTGTGCTTGGCCTACGAAGTTCAAGTTCTACTTCCTCTCTCTCCAGAGGTGCTCACTTTTTAACAGGTTGGAGTGTATTCTTGAAGGTTTTTTTTTATGCATTTGCACACATATACATCTGCCTGTATGTAGTTTTGCATTTCCTTTCTTTTTTTATTTTTAACATAACAAGGGTGTTTATTTTGGGTATAAACTATCTTTCATTGAACTGTGAGATGTTTCTAAAGATCTAAGAGAAGTGTACACACCCAGAGTAGTTTATAAGCAGAATAGCTCATAACCCTGGTATGGAAAAGACCATTTCTTGAACTCACAGAACAATGTCTTTAAAATTTCATTCCTAAAAAAGTACAAGCTGTTCTGGATAAGAAAGTGTGAGACCTTGTGATAACCATTGTTTCTTCAGGATATTTTCCATTTTATGTATCCAGTGTCATTTCTAAATACTTAATAGACCGTCATTGAAATACAGTATATTCAGAACAGAAGGTATATACATTTACTATAAATACTTATCTTGCATATACTGTGCACATATGTGGTTTTCAATAGCTTCAGGTATGCTGGAAATTTTTGACTGGCCCCTTTGGTGAACACCAGGCTATGGGCTGCATATGTGGTAATGTCAGACCTCTGAGCCCAAGCTAAGCCATCATATCCCCTGTGACCTGCATGTATACATCCAGATGGCCTGGAGCAACTGAAGATGCACAAAAGAAGTGAAAATAGCCTTAACTGATGACATTCCACCATTGTGATTTGTTCCCACTCCACCCTAAGTGATACATGTATTCTCCCCCGCCCTTGAGAAGGTGCTTTGTAATATTCTCCCCGCCCTTGAGAATGTACTTTGTACGTCTACCCCAAACCTATAAGAACTAATGATAATCCCACTATCCTTTGCTGACTCCTTTTTTGGACTCAGCTCGCCTGCACCCAGGTGAAATAGCCTTGTTGCTCACACAAAGCCTGTTTGGTGGACTGTCTCCACATGGACGTGCGTGACAGTAAATCAATTCCAGACACTCTTCTTTTTTTTTTTTTTTTTTTTGAGACGGAGTCTCGCTCTGTCGCCCAGGCTGGAGTGCGGTGGCGTGATCTTGGCTCACTGCAAGCTCTGCCTCCTGTGTTCTCGCCATTCTCCTGCCTCAGCCTTCTGAGTAGCTGGGACTACAGGTGCCCGCCACCACGCCCGGCTAATTTTTTTTGTATTTTTAGTAAAGATGGGGTTTCACCGTGTTAGCCAGGATGGTCTCAATCTCCTGACCTCGTGATCCACCCATCTCGGCCTCCCAAAGTGCTGGGATTACAGGCGTGAGCCACCGCGCCCAGCCCAGACACTTCTTTAGTTCCAGTTCTGGCAGAGATCTTCTCACTGTCAGAGACGTGTCAGCTAGAACAACTCCATCTTAAATAGGACCTGGGTAAAATGAGGCTGAAACCTATTGGGCTGCATTCCCAGATGGCTAGGCATTCTCAGTCACAGGATGAGACAGGCGGTCAGCTCAAGATACAGGTCAGATCTTGCTGATAAAACAGCTTGCAGTAAAGAAGCCGGCCAAAGCCCACCGAAACCAAGATGGCAACGAGAATGACCTCTGGTTGTCCTCACTGCTACACTCCCACCACCACCACGACAGTTTACAAATGCCATGGCAACCTCAGGAAGTTACCCTACATGGTCTAAAAAGGGGAGGCATGAATAATCCATCCCTTGTTTAGCATATCATCAAGAAATAACCATAAAAACTGGCAACCAGCAGCCCTCGGGGCTGCTGTGTTTATGGGTTAGCCATTCTTTTGTTCCTTTACTTTCCTAATAAACTTGCTTTCACTTTAATCTATGGACTTACCTGGAATTCCTTGTTATGCGAGATCCTAGAACCCTCTCTTGGGGTCTGGATCAGGACCTCTTTCCTGTAACATCACCATGGTTGATAATGTATGAGGGAATTATGGCTAATATGTGTTCCTTTTGCTTCTGGGTGCTGCTGTAACATAGATTCCTGGCAAGTAAATAGGGCCTAGTTTAAAGACCATTTCAACTAGGTGGTTAAGGAAATGAACTCATTTTCATCTTTGGTGAGTATTGAGTGACATCAGTATTTCCCATAGTCTTTGCTCTCTGGATAGCTGAGGTATAGGAAACAACTACATTAGAAACACATTTGGAAGCCTGGGCCACTTGAAATTGTTATAATTAAAGTTTCGGTGCTGCAAAAGAATAGCACTCGAATATAAAATTTTCTTTTTAATTCTCAGCAGGGCAAGTTAATTCTATTGCGCCCTTACAGATGGAGCAATGGTGAGTGCACACTTGGACAAGGGAGGAGATATGGTTCTTAACCCTGACTCACGTGGCCCCTGCTGCTGTGTCATTCCCCAATTGGCTAGGGTTAGACCGCACAGGCTAAACTAATTCTGACTGGCTAATTTAAAGAGAGTGACGGGGTGAGTGGTTTGGCGTGAAAAATGGTTATGCAGGGTGGAGAATGAGTTAGGGCGGATCAGGTAGCAGGTAATCAGAATGAGTCAGCGTGGAGCAGGTAATCGGAAAAGGTTGCTTTATGAGGAAGCTAAGTTTAACAGTAGAAGGCAAAGAATTGAATATACTGACATATTGATTCTTTGAAAAGAAATTTAGAACTCATACCTAACAAAATGTATTAAAAATCTAAAGTTCACATTCAGGATTTACGATTCTGATTTTTTTTCCCCAAGACCATTTCCTTTTTAATAATACTTAACGTTGTAAATGGGTCTCGTGCACACAAGGAAATCTTCATTTTTAAAGAGATATTTAATATTTCAACAGAATATTATCCATTCCCTTGTTAATAGGCATTTAATTGTTTCCATCTTTTTTGTGTTTGTTTCAAGCACACCCTTCTCCATATGTATTTGTGCACGTGTATGTCTGTTGGAAAGATGGGTCCTAGAAATAGAGTTGAGAGGGTAGAAGTTTATGCAAGTTTTGAAGTTTGATGGAATCTGCCATTGCCCTTGGAAAAAGCTGTGCCTTGTCATTTTGGTGAGTTTAAGCTCCTGTTACTCTCTGCCTTGTCAAGACTGGGCAATATCCAGTGTCTTGTTTTTGCTAATCTGATTGGTGAAAAGATACCCTTTTGTTGTTTTAATGTGAATGAATTTCCTTTATTTTTTCAACTTTCAAACAACTTCCTTTTTCTTGAATCCACCCACCGTCCCACTTCCTGCCACTGTTAGATTCCACATTTCCTTTCTTTTCCAAGTGAACCCAGCTGCCAGAATTCCTTTCAAGCTATGAGGCCTCAGGGCTGGGCTCTTCAAGGGTGTAATTAGCATAACCGAATCCCTGGCTTTAAGCCACTCACTACTTTCCTTTCAACACTGCATTTAAGGAAATTAGGAAGATGGCTTTGATCACTTTCAGGATGTGGTGGTGTTCTGTGCCTTTCACGTTTGAGATTTCCCTGGAGGACTGGCTGCCAGTGGGTTTGGTAGAGAGAATGGGGTAAGGGTGTTGAGGGCAAGGAAGGGCTTCTTGGGACCCCAGGGACATCTTAAATTGATGGTGATTTGCAATTAAAGCCAAAGAAAGATGTGCAAATCAGGATTAGGGGTTAAGGGTGTATGTGAGTAGGGAAATGGTGGAATAAATAATTAAAATACAAAACGCACATGTGCTAGGGACAGCGCTGAAGACCTGAAATGTATGACCTTTTATAGTCCCCACTACAACCCTGTGAAGTTGGTTCTAGTGTTATCCCCCTTTATAAATGTGAAAACCAAGGTTCAGAGAGTTGAATTGCTTTGATTAAGACCGCACAGCATGTAGGTGGCTGACTAGGACTCCAACTCCTGCTGTCTTGCTCCCTCTTAAGAATTGCAAATACTGCCTCCCACCTCAAGGTAATGTTGGGCTAGCCCTGTATAGCCTAAAGATGTGCCTGGACGTATATTACTTGATTTCACATAAACCACCTGTGAGATAGTTACTGGAAAAACCAAACTCTGTGAAATATGTGAAGAGGTTTATTCTGAGCCAATATGAGTGATCACAGCCCAGGAAACAGTCTCAAGAGGTCCTGAGAAAGTGTGCCCAAGGAGGTTGGGTTGCAGTTTGGTTTTATACATTTTAGGGAGGCAGGAGATACAGGCAAAGACAGAAATCAATACATGGAAGGTATACAGTGGTTTGGCCTGAAAAGATGGGATGAAGTGGGGGCTTACGGGTCATAGATAGATTCTGAGATTTTCTTTTTTCTTTCTTTTTTTTTTTTGAGGTGGAATTTCACTCTTGTCACCCAGGCTGGAGTGCAATGGCACAATCTCGACTCACTGCAACCTCCGCCTCCCGGGTTCAAGCAATTCTCCTGCTTCAGCCTCCTGAGTAGCTGGGATTACAGGCATCTGCCACCACGCCTGGCTAATTTTTGTATTTTTTTTAGTAAAGACAGGGTTTCACCATGTTGGCCAGGCTGGTCTTGAACTTCTGACCTCAGGGATCCACCCGCCTCAGCCTCCCAAAGTGTTGGGAACAGGCGTGAGCCACCACCCACAGCAGATTCTGAGATTTTCTGATTGGCAATTGGTTGAAAGAGTTAAGCCTTGTCTGAAGATTTGATGCCACTAGAAAGGGATGCTTAAGTTAAGATATGGGGGGTTGTGGAAGCCAAGGTTCTTGTTATGCAGATGAAGCATCAAGATAGTAGCCTTCAGAGAGAATAGGTGGTAAATATCTCTTTTTGGACTTTAAAAGGTGTCAGACCCTTAGTTAATCTCTGGTAGATCCAGGAAAGGATGGAAAAAGGAATCTGTAGATTCTCTACAGATGCAAATTTCCCCCACAAGATATGGCTTTGCAGGGCCATTTCAAAATATGTCAAAGAAATGGGCTGGGTGCGGTGGGTCACACCTGTAATCCCAGCACTTTGGGAGGCCGAGGTGGGCGGATCACTTGATGTCAGGAGTTCGAGACCAGCCTGGCCAACATGGTGAAACCGTGTCTCTACTTAAAATACAAAAATTAGCTGGGCATGGTGGTGTGCACCTATAATCCCAGCTACTTGGGAGGCTGAGGCACAAGAATCGCTTGAACCTGGGAGGCAGAGGTTGCAGTGAGTTGAGATCGCGCCACTGTACTCCAGCCTGGGCGACAGGGCGAGAATCTGTCTAAAAACAATATGTCAAATAAATGTATTTTGGGGTAAAATATTTTGATTTTCTTCAAGGTTTGCTGTCTGTCATGTGATGTTATACCATATTCAGGTTGGAATTTGGTATCTTATTGCCACAAAGAGTCTGTTTTGTCAGTCTTCTTGTTACCGGAAAGGGGTCCTGATCCAGACCGCAAGAGCGGGTTCTTGGATCTCGCACAAGGAAGAAGTCAGGGCAAGTCCATAGAGTGAAGTGAAAGCAAGTTTATTAAGACAAAAATAAAGGAATGGCTACTCCCTAGGCAGAGCAGCCCTGAGGGCTACTGGTTGTCCATTTTTATGGTTATTTCTTGGTTATATGCTAAACAAGGGGTGGGTTATTCATGCCTCCCCTTTTTAGATGCTATAGGGTAACTTTCTGAGGTTGCCATGGCATTTGTAAACTGACATGGTTCTGGTGGGAGTGTAGCAGTGAGGACGGCCAGAAGTCACTCTCATCACCATCTTGGTTTTGGTGGGATTATAGCTGGCTTCTTTATGGCAACCTGTTTTATTAGCAAGATCTTTATGATTGGTATCTTGTGCCAACCTCCTATCTCATCCTGTGACTAAGAATGCCTTAACTATCTGGGAATGCCGCCCAGTAGGTCTCAGCCTTATTTTACCCAGCCCTTATTCAAAATGGAGTTGCTCTGGTTCCAACACCTCCAACATTATGATCTCTGTTTTAATGTTAGTGCTGGTTGGTTGTGCCTAAACTCCAAAAGGGAGGGGGTGTAACAAATGAGGTGTGTCTGATTTTTCTTCCTATCATGGCCAGGCATTCAGTTTTTCAGTTTTCTCTGGGATCCTCTTGGCCAAGAGGGTGGTCTTTTCAGTCAGTTGGGGGGCTTAATATTTTATTTTTAGTTTATAAGGTAAATGTATTATCCTCATCCTTATAGCAGAGGAAACTGAGGCTTAGGAAAGGTAAATGCGGGAACCAGGACTTGAACGTAGGCTTTCAATATGCAGCTCCTTCATTTTGACCCCCTCACAATTGAATAAACTGAAGACCCTAATGGTCAATGTTTTTCTTGTTGAATGTTTATCTTAGTTTTGTAGACAAGCACAAAACACTTACCAGCCAGCATTGTTGCACACTGGTAGACAAATTAAGACAAAAACTTGTTAAAGAAACAAAATGACTTTTATTTTTATGATTAAAGAGGTAATACATGTTCGTTATTGGAAAGTTAGAAAATAGAAACAACCAAAAGGATATTAAAATGATCAATGTCATGGTTGATTTTGTGTGTTAATTTGACTGAGTCACAGGGTGCCCAGATATGGTCAAGCATTATTCTGGGTGTGTCTGTGAGAGTGTTTCTGGATAAGATTAATTTTTGAGTCTGTAGACTGACTAAAGCTGATTTTCTTCCCTGATGTGAGTGGGCCTAGCCCAGTAAGTTCGGGGCCTAAACAGAACACAGCAACTAAGTAAGAGGAAACTTCTCCTTCTGAACTACTTGAATTGGGACATCTGTCTTCTCTTGCCCTCAGAGTGGAACCTACACTGTCAGCTTTCCTGGTTCTCAGGCCTTTGGACTCAGACTGGAACTGCACCATCAGCTCTCCTGGGGCTCTAGCTTGTCAATTACAGGTCTTGGGACTTCACAGCTTTCATAATTGCATGAGCCAATTCCTGATTCTCTCTCTCTCTCTCTGTATATGTATGTAAGTATATAATGTCTCTCTGGTGAACATTGACTAATACAACTCATAATCCTAAATAAGATCTTTTTTTATCCTTTTGCTGTATAGTATTCCAGCCTTTTTCTGTGCATCCATATACACTGCTTTTTCATTTGACAGCATATAACAAATGTATTTAAATAATCACCATTCTTTCAATTTGCCAAGAACAAGTTTAGTTATGTCTTTAAGTCATATTTATTGTGAGTCTTAAACTCTTTGGGTGCTGGACGTGAGAGAAGGGGCCCTACCTCATGGTGCTTACAGTCTAGCTAGACAGAAAAAATTTAAACAAGCAGTTACACAAAAATTTCTTAATTATACTTGTGGTAAGTGTTATAATTTAAAAAATATATACAGGGATCTTCTAGAATACATAATAAACTCACTGAACTTAGCTCTGTGAGGTCAGGGGAGGGTTTTTCAAGGAGGGGACAATGAGGCAGAGACCCAAAGGATAAGTCGGACTCAGTAAGTCAAAGGGTGGGAGGAAGAGCATTCGAGGCAGAGAGAACAGCACATGCAAAGGCTCAGAGGGAGGAAGTTGCTGCCTGAGAACCAGAAAGAAGGCTGCTGTGGCTGCTGGGCAGTGAGCCAGCAGGGATGGAGGGAGGGGACATGTTGCAACGGCCCTTTTTGTAGAGACGGGGTCTCACTATGTTGCCCAGGCTGTGAAATTTCTGAAGCTGATTTTATTACTGTAATCAGGAAGCAAATAAGGGGGTGGGGGTTGGCGGCGGGGAACAAACCCAAACAGCATCATGGAAACTCAACAAAAATTTTCTTCAACTCTCGTAGCCATGGCAGAGAATTGTCAGGCAACAAAAATATGTAGGGGGTACAGAGAGGAAGGGGTTCTGTACTTTATTGCCATTCTTCAAAGATTCTAGAATAACAGCCATTTAGTTTAATACAACTCCATCAAAATCCCTGTTTATTGAGTCCCTGTTATATGGCAGGCTTAATGGTGAGCATTGGAATTCTGTCTCTCAATGCCTCCCTGGAAAAGAGGTAGAAACCATCACTAGGTGGTCTTCTGTGGAGAGATTTTATGTTTAAATAAAGGCAAAGACAAAAAAAATTAATCAGGACAAGTAATCAAAGTGAAATTGAATCTGCATGCTAAGTAGAAGTTCCACCATCTTTGCTGAGTGATTAGGATTAAATAGAAATATCTGTTTTCTTTCTCCTCCTCTTCAACCTTTTTCCCAGTGTTGTTTTTTTCCCCTCAAAGTAAAGAGAAATCTTAACAAGCACCTGAGTGAATGATGCGAAGTTCTCTTGGAGTTTTCAATTTGGCTGTATTGATTTATAAGGTCTTTTCAATTACTGAATTCTTCTTGGTGGCAGCGTGCAGGGTCCCCATACGTGAGAATCATGCTCTATTGATCCCAGGTACTTAGAAAGGGGCATTTGTGTGTCTGCGGTAGATTGATGAAGTTGCAAATAATGAAGCTTCCCACGCAACATTTATTAAATGAAAATCTAGAATTCATTAACACAAGAACTTGTCTTGTATTAGAAACAAAGAAGGGGCTTGAGAAAAAATAGGAACTACAGTAGTTATCATGAACATAATATATGAAGCAATTTGAATTCAAGGGAAGGCAATTTGGAATCTTATTAAATTTTCTTCTCTCCTTTTATTGTGTGAGCATGGTTGGGTGGCTTCTGGGGAGCCATCGATCAAAACCCAGGTGCATGGGGAGCTGGGGCCTGGCTAAAGAGACCAGTTCTCAAATTCTTGCTGTAGTTAAAATGGGATTACCACCCAGTGTTTAGTATCTGGCCCAAAGCAGAAACTTAATAAATATGAATGAGAAATTATGAGTGAATGAATGAATGAGTGAATTACAGTAATGAATGATTAGGAGAGATCATTGAACATTAGCTGTGATTGCTGAGAGAGACTGGCACAGCTATTTAGCTAAGCCCAGTTAGACTCCATTCCCAATTCACTTATTCACTCACTCACTCACTCACTCACCCACCCACCAAACATTTGTTGAGAATGGATCATGTACAAGGTACTATGTTAAGCACTGTGTTCGTTTTCTAGGATTGTCTTAACAAATGACTATAAACTAGGTGCTTTAAAGCAGCAGAGATTTTTTTCTCTCACAGCTCTAGAGGTTGGAAGAACAAACCCAGAGAAGGATCCTTTCTTGTCTCTTCCAACTTCTGGTGCCCAAGGTCTTCCTTGCCCTAAAGCAGTGTAACTCCAATTTCTGCCTCTGTCTTCACATGGCCATTTCCCTGTATGTCTGTGTCTTTGAATCTCCCTCTCCTTATAGGAACACTAGCCACTGGATTTAGGGCCTACTCTAATCCAGTATGACCTCATCTTAACTTGGTAACATTGGCAAACACCCTGTTTTGAAATAAGGTCACATTTATATGTTCTTGGTGGACATGAATTTGGCGGAGACCCTATTCAACCCAGCACAAGCACTATGGGGGATACACAGATTGGTGCCCAGCTGCTATGACCTAACATTTGAGTAGGGGAGATAAAAAAAACACAGGCCAGACAATTTGCAATTGCAAAGATATGGAACCAACCTAAGTTCCCAACACATAATGAGTGGATAAAGAAACTATGGTATATATACACCATGGAATACTATTCAACCATAAAAAGGAACAAACTAATGTCTTCTGCAGCAACTTGGATGGAGCTGGAGGCCATTATTCTAAGTGAAGTAACTCAGGAGTGGAAAACCCAATATCATATGTTCTCACTTATAAGTGGGAGCTAAGCTATGAGGATGCAAAGGCATAAGAATGATATAATGGACTTTGGGGACTCTAGGAGGAAGGTTGGGTGGGGAGTGAGGAGAAAAAGACTAGAGATTGGGTACAGTGTACACTGCTTAGGTTATGGGTGCACTAAAATCTCAGAAGTCACCATTAAAGAACTTATCCATGTAACCAAAAACCACCTGTATCCCCAAAACTATTAAAATAAAAATTAAACACACAGGCTGGGAGTTGTGGCACAAGCCTGTAATCCCAGGACTTTGGGATGCTGAGGCAGGAGGATTGCTTGAGCCCAGGAGTTTGAGGCCACAGTGAGCTATGATTGCCCCACTGCACTCCAGCCTGGGCAAAAGAGTGAGATCCCATTTCTTAAAAAAAAAGAAAAACTGCAGCCAGGCACAGTGGTTCACTCCTGTAATCCCAGCTCTTTGGGAGGCTGAGGCGGGTGGATCACTTGAGGTCAAGAGTTTGAGACTAGCCTGGCCAACATGGTGAAACCCCATTTCTACTAAAAATACAGAAATTAGCTGGGTGGTAGTGGCACGTGCTGTAATCTCAGCTACTCGGGAGGCTGAGGCAGGAGAATCGCTTGAGCCTGGGAGGCGGATGTTACCATGAGCTGAGATCGTGCCACTGCACTCCATTCTGGGTGACAGAGTACGACCCTGTCTCAAAAAAAAAAAAAAAAATAGAAAAAAGAAAAACCACATAGATTCCCCTGACACCTGCCAATTTACAGTGCATCAAGCCAGTGACCTGCTTTATTCTCTTGAGTTCTTCATGAAACTTGATGAAATAGAGAGGGTGACGCTCATTTTTAGAGATGAGGAAATGGAGGTTCAGAAAGGTGAAGTCACACAGCTGGTAATTGACAAGGCCCAGGTCTTACTGATTCTTCTTGCATGTATATGGTAGGGAAGTTAGAAAACACAGATAAGCATAAAGAAAAAGAATATTAAAATCTAACCACACATAGGTAAGCATTTACAAATTTTGGTATGTAATCCTTCTAGAATTTACGGTGAATACATTTCATCTACCGAGCACTCCCCTCCCCACCTTAGGAGTTGGCCATGTTCCCATCTCTGCCTCCCTGGCAGACTCCTGGGAGCCATGCGTGGGCACCACCACCCAGTCCTGGCTAGGGTTAAGTCAGGCACAGGCTCCCAGCCCACACTGATTCAACAGTCCTTTAACTAGGGACTTGAGATAGAGACCAAGAGCTTCCAGCCTCAGTCTTGTCGATGCCTGAAGTGAAGCAGGCGAGAGTCTGGAATGAGCCACACTGTATTATAGAATAGTCTTAGGAGCTGAGATGAGAGGTCTGCAGTGAAGGAGTAGAAGGAGGGCAATGAGAGAGAATTTTGGAGTTGATTCCTACACCAAAGTCACATCTTACCCTCGAGTTCTCAAAGTATCCTTATGGCAAACCTCCCTTTTCCAAATCAACTAGATGGAAAGGGTTTCTGTTACATGCAGCCAAGGGTCTTGTGGCAAGTGGCAGGAAAAAAAAAAACCCAACCATAAAGACATTCATTTATTTACCAAAATGCCTGGTGAAAGGTAGTTCTGGAAGGTAGTTCCAGGATGGTTCCGTGTTACCAAAGGCATAGGTACTTAACTATCTTTTTGTCCTGCCTTCCCTGGTGTGTAGGCAAGGATTCCTCTCGTGGTGACAAGATGGCTGCCGCAGCTCTGAGAATCACATCCTCACAAGATAGCATCCAGATCCAGGAAGGGAAGACAGCCAAAGCAGGAAAGGCACTTTCTCTGCATGTACCACTCTTTTATTAAAGGGACTGTGAAGATTACCTCCTGAAAACCTCTTGTCAGATTTCTCCTATGTCTCATCAGTCAGACCTGGGTTACACGCCCACTTCTAGACCAGTCACTGGAAGAGGGGAATTGGTGTGCCATGACTGGTTTAGACAAATTGTAGTTCACCCTCTAGAGTTGAACTTTTTTTTTTTTTTTTTTTTTTTTTTTTTTGAGACAGAGTCTTGCTCTGTCGCCCAGGCTGGAGTGCAGTGGCACGATCTCAGCTCACTGCAACCTCTGCCTCCCGGGCTCAAGCAATTCTCCTGCCTCAGCCTCCTGAGTAGCTGGGATTACAGGTGCCCACCACCACGCCCAGCTAATTTTTGTATTTTTAGTAGAGACAGCGTTTCACCATGTTGGTCAGGCTGGTCTCGAACCCCTGACCTTGTGATCCACCCGCCTCGACCTCCCAAAGTGCTGGGATTACAGGCGTGAGCCACTGTGCCCGGCGAATTGAACATATTTTTAACATAGTCAAATCAAAGGAGGCAGAATGGTATTGGGAGGGTAACCATTAAACTACTCCAGGAGTGCTAATAAACTGTCTCTAACATTTTTCAATCTATGATAGTCACTTAAAATATTGTGACCATCTTTCCATTTTGATAAAGACACGAAGTGCATGCTTCTCTCCATTTGTGATGGTTAATATTGAGTGTCAACTTGATTGGATTGAAGGATGCAAAGTATTGATCCTGGGTGTGTCTGTGAGGGTGTTGCCAAAGGAGATTAACATTTGAGTCAGTGGGCTGGGAAAGGCAGACCCACACTTAATCTGGGTGGGTACCATCTAATCAGCTGCCAGCACAGCCAGGATATAAACCAGGCGGAAAAATGTGAAGAGGCTAGACCGGCTTAGCCTCCCAGCCTACATCCTTCTCCTGTGCTGGATGCTTCCTGCCCTTGAACATTGGACTCCAAGTTCTTCAGCTTTGGGAGTTGGACTGACTCTCCTTGCTCCCCAGCTTGCCGATGGCCTATTGTGGGATCTTGTGTTCATGTGAGTTAATACTACTTAATAAAGTCCCATATATATATATATATAAAATTACTTCTGTCCCTCTAGAGAACCCCGATTAATACACCATTACACTTTAGAGCAGCGATTCTCAACACAGGTGATATAGACAGTGATTTCCACTGTTTGATACCCTACCTCCTCTGCTGTTGCCCTGGCAACAATGCATTCTCCGACCCAGTTGTCAAGGACCATTGTGCCTTTGTCTTTCTTTCCCACTTCTTTGTTAGAGACTATTTATTTTTCTCCCTCGGGTAAGATTTAGGTTTCCAGAGAGGATTATCAGCTTCCTCCTGCCTTACAGAGCTCCTGCCTGCCCATTCCTGAAGTCCCTGTAGGATGGAGACTCAACACCAAAGCCTTGGCTGGGGGAGTCCGGGACCAAGGGAAGGGCAGATGCAGCACAGCTTTAGGGTGGGAGCTGGGCTCTCTTTCTGGAGATACTGGGAACTGATCACCTCAACGTGACATAAGTACGTACCCTGCACAAGCTGATCATAGCAATGTTCCTTTGCACTTCCCGTTCCTGTTGGCCTCATGGTTCAGCACACAGACTTTGGACTTGGGCTGACCTAGGTTTGAATCCTGACCCTGCTACAAGGAAGCAAGTTATTTAAATCCCATGAGTCTCAGTTTCCTCATTTGTAAAATGGGGATAAGAATATGTGTTCTGTGGGTTATAGTGTGAATTGGAGATAATGAGCCTAAAATGAGGAGTGGAGGGCCTGGCATGTAGGAGATGCCTGAGAATTGATAGGTGCTGCTGGTGTTGTAATAGTATTTCCTCGGTTACTGATTCCTCTTCTTGCTTCCAATCTTGTACACGGGGGAAAGATGAAGAACAATTGTGCTCCTCAAATTCCTCATCTGTAAGAGGAAAAATCATTAGATGACATATTGTATGCAAAACTTCCAGCACATGATAGATACATATGCAATGTAATTAGCAGTACCAATACTTCTACTAGTTGGATGTTTATGTATGCATTTAACAATTATTTGTCTGGTACCTCCTAGGAGCCAAGCCTTGTGCTTTGTTCTGGAGATTTAGCAGTGGCCTGGGCCAGCACAGGGATGTGCCATCCCACCTGGGGGCTGAGATAGTCACCTGTGACTGGGGAGTAGACATCTGTGTACTAGGCCCTTTAAACAGAGCTCTCACTTCTGCACACCCTGGAATCATTGAGCAGGAAGGAAGCAAGGATTGAGATGGTGGAATGAGTAGGAATAATAATTCTATCAGCTGTAGTCCCAGCTACCTGGGAGGCTGAGGCAGGAGAATCACTTGAACCCGGAAGGCGGAGGTTGCAGTGAGCCGAGATCGCACCACTGCACTCCAGCCTGACGACAGAGAAACTCTGTCTCAAAAAAAAAAAAAAAAAAAAAATTCCATCGGGAAGAAGGGAGAACCACCAACTGCAAAGGGATGTTGAGGTCCTGCTCTTGTGGCTACAAGGGGTGGGTAGAAGCTTTTTTGGGCAAGGCTTCTGAAGACCCAAGAGATGTTTAAATGTGTCCAATTCAGTGGGCAAACTAAGCCCAGTCCTGTGTGTCTGGGATTCCATCTCTTTTGGATCAGGAAACATGAGCTGTATTCAGAGACTTTTGGGAGCAAGCACCCACCAGAGTCTTTTTGTCTGCTGACTTGACCAAAATAGGCAGGCTAGGCTGGAAGGATGCTGAGAAATTCCAGAAAAGAAAATGTTGGCCTCTGTTTATGGTTCATTTCAGCTTGGAGTGTCCAAAAGCATGGGCTCTGGAGCCAGAATGCCTGGGTTTCACTCCCACTCCTCCTGTTTCCAGCTGTTCAACCTTTGAAAATCCACTTTACCTCTCTTAGGCTCAGATTTCTTATGTATAAAATGGGGAGGAAAGTTATACCTACACTATGGCGTTGCCAGAAGGATTAAATGTGTAATGTGTGTGGAATGCTAGTTATCCTATTAGATCTGCACAACAAGCCTGTAGGCAATGCAGAATCTCTGTGCCCATTTCACAGATGGGAAAACTGAGAGTTGAGAACTTCTCAAGGGCAGATGATGGGTCATAGTTATCTTTATTTGTCTTCTCTTTATTAAGCCTTCAATAAGTGGTGGTGTCACATATTATTCTAGATATGTGACAACTGATTGCATTCACTCAATAAGTGGAGGTGAATGAATAAATGAATCATTTCATATCAGACTGTGGTGGAGGCCACACTTGACTAGATCCCGGTTCCAAATTTCATGCTCCATGTGAGTGATTCGCTGGAGTGGGTGTGCCAGGTGGATTAGATGTATGCCAGTACAGTTAGTGATGGTGATGCAGGTAAGAATAGTTGTATTTTTTAACTTTTAACTTTTTGTTTATTATTAGAGACAGTCCTGCTTTGTTGCTCAGGCTGGAGTGCAATGGTGCAGTCATGGCTCACTGTAGCCTCAGCCTCCGGGGCTCAAGAGATCCTCCCACCTCAGCCTCCTGAGTAGTTGGGACTACATATGTACATCACCACACCCGGCTAATTTTTAATTTTTTTTTTGTAGAGACAGAGTTTCCCTATGTTGGCCAGGCTGGTCTTGAACTCCTGGGCTCAAGCGATACTCCTGTCTCAGCTGAGATTACAGGCGTGAGCCATTTCATCTCACTAAGAACAGCTGTATTGATGGAGCACTTCCTACGTGCTGGGCACTGTGCCAAACATATTGCATGCCTTCTCGTAGTACGCTCAAAGTCACCCTATGAATAAGGGCTATTATTTATATCCATTTCATGGATGAATAACCTGAGACTTATAAAGGTTAAAGAACTTGCCCAAGGTCATCCATCTGGTGGTGTTCAAGCTTGAATTCCCTCCTGTGTTTGTCTGACACCAGTCTGAGCATCTGGTCCACACTACATTGCCCAGGGCAGGTGAATGACTTGCCCAAGGTCACACGGCAAGCAGTGGTGCAGGTGAGGCTGGCCCAGGATGCCAGCTACCTTCCTTCCTTCAGTTCTGCCTTCTCTGACCTTCAGCCCTCCCTCCAGGGCGAAGCCTCTCAAGCCTGAAACCCACCTCACTGTGCCTGGGACCCCTTCAAAGCCCCAAGGAAGGACAGTTGCAGGAATCCAGGTGGGAGTTTCAACTGTTCCCTTCAGATCCCCACTGTGATCGAGTGAATTTCCAGACTGGATCCAATTTCCAAACAGAGCTGACATGTATCGGGCATTCGGCAGCAACAAGCCAAGCCTGGCTGCGTGCGGTGGGGATGGAGGAGGCTAATAATTTGCCGCTGGCGTCCCATTACCAGCAAGTTGTCAGAACACACTAGCTTGGGAGGACAGTGTCAATGATGGCGCCACGTCTGAGACAGAGAACCTGAGAGGAGCAAGGTGGGGGCATTCTTCTGGAGCTTCTGCGGTTGCTCCAAGCAGGGGCTGGCATACTTTCCATCTCAGACACCACAGGCAGCAAAAGGAAAAAAAAAATCACAATGCCTTTTGGTGTATCTGTGGGCTTATGGCCTGTGGAGTCCTGGAACAGAATCATCGCATGTGCATGGGAGGCAGGACGAAGTCGTGATTAGGAGCAGGGCTTTGGAGGCGGAACTGGGTTGACCTAGCTGTGTGACCTCGAGTCTTATTTATTTATAAAATAATTGCTTTGTTTCTTTATAAAATAAGAATAATGTGACCAGGTGCAGTGTCTCACTCCTTTTATTCCAGCACTTTGGGAGACCAATGCAGGTGACAACCTGGGTAACCTAGTGAGATCCTGTGTCTACAGAAATTTTTAAAAATTAGCCAGGTGTGGTGGTGTGCATCGGTGGTCGCAGCTACTCGGGAGGTTGAGGTGGGAGGATCACTTGGGCCTGGGAGTTTGAGGCTGCAGTGAGCCATGATCATGCCACTGCACTCCAGCCTGGGCAACAGAGCAAGACCCTGTCTCAAAATTAAAAATACAAGGAAAGAATATGCTACCTTTCCTGTAGACTTGTCAGGTAATTTAAATGAGCAAGTACTGAGAAATGTCTTAACAAGGCACCTGGCACCTAGCAAATACTCAGTTTCCTCAAAGGGGCTAATAAAACTTACCTCAAACGATTGTTGTAAATTTTAAATGAAGTCTAAGCTTATTTGACTGTGTGTTTGTGTGCATATATACCTACATGTGTTTGTATACACACATACACATACATCAACATATACATAGATACATGTGTCTTGGTACGTGTGCATAGCACATAGTAGTTTCTGTCTAATGTTGGCTATGATTATTATGCCAAGTTGAAATCCATGTCCCTGTACTTCTCATCCACTGATTTTACCTTGAGAACCCAAACAGAACATTCATCCATTCTGCAGCCAACATCTAACAATAGTTTCTGAGTGTCTACTGTGTGCTAGACATAGTCGATGCATAGTAGGTGCTGGGTTCTTGGTGGCCCCAAAGGTGTGCCGCTCAGATCCCCCTCAAAGGCAGCCAACTGACTGCCTTTTGCTGCTGCATCGGTGGCTCCAGGTCTGGCTGTGCTTCTCCCAAATGTTCAGGTCTAGCTGTGCTTCTCCCAAATGCTCTCGGCCAAAGACTCAGCACTTCGGGGTAATAGAGGTCGGCCAGTCCTGCCCAACATGGGACCCCTCTATATTAGTTTTCTGTGGCTGCTATAACAAGTTGCCACAAACTGGTGGTTTAACATACACACACAAATGTATTCCCTACCAATTTTGGAAGGCAGAAGTTCAAAATCAAGGTGTTGGCTGCACTCCGAGGCTCTGGGGGAGAAGCCTTCCTTGCTTCTTTCCACCTCTGATGGCTGTCAGCCTTGTGGCTGCGTAACTCCAGTCTGTGCCTCTGTTTTCACATTGCCTTCTCCTCTTCTCTTGGTGTCTTCTCTTCTGTCTGTCTTGAACCCCTCTCTACCTTTCTCTTATAAGAACACTTGGAATGGATTTAGGGATCATTCGGATAATCCAGGATAATCTCACCATCTCAAGGTCCTTAATCCCATCTTCCAAGACGCCTTTTCCAAATAAGGTAACATTTAAGGTTCCAGGGATTCCTTTTTTTTTTTTTTTTTTTTTTTTTTTTTGAGACGGAGTCTTGCTGTCTCGCCAGGCTGGAGTGCAGTGGCGCGATCTCAGCTCACTGCAACCTCCGCCTCCCGGGTTCAAGTGATTCACCTGCCCTAGTCTCCCGAGTCGCTGGGACTACAGGCACCCACCACCACGCCTGGCTAATTTTTTAATATTTTTAGTAGAGACGGGGTTTCACCATGTTGGCCAGGCTGGTCTCCATCTCTTGACCTTGTGATCCACCTGCCTCAGCCTCCCAAAGTGCTGGGATTACAGGCGTGAGCCACCGTGCACAGCCCAGTTCCAGGTATTTGACGTGGATATTTTTGGGGAGCCTTTCTCAGCCCACCACACCCTTTGATGGGCAACCTTTGCTTGGGAACTCCCCATTTTTCTCTGGCTGAGACTGTCTCAGAACTCTCCGAGTCCAATTCTCTACCAGTCCAATCCTTGCTCCCCTCTCTGCTTTCACAGACGTTAGACCCAGAGTTTGGTTTGGTTCGAAGACTCTCCTGCCTGTACCTGCCTCCTCTCCCCTTTCCCTTGATGGATGTTTCCTTCAATCAATGAAATCCTTTCTTGGCATGTGCTTCTCAGAGGACCCAAACTGACCTAGTGCTGAAGGATGGCTGTTCAGGCAAAAGTCTAGCATTGAGCAAGCTTGTCTTAGAGCCTTCCAGTGCCTGTATTCTGAGTGCTTTCTCTTCCACCTTCCACAAGGTCCTGGGACCCTCTACCTAGTGAGATATCACTAGAGCAGACAGTTCAGTGGTTCTGTGACCAGGTGGGATACAGCCTTATCTGGGTATGTTAGCTTTGTGTGGTTCTTTGCACGTGGTGTCTGCACCCCTGACTCCACCAACTAATATGGAGTTGACAAGAGGGCAGCCATATTCTTCCATCCTCACCAGTGACTGGCTGGAAGTGGGCATGTGATTCAAGCTAGCTAATCAGAGCTCTTCCCTTGCAATTGGGGGATCTACGGAGGCCTAAAAGAGTCTAGCCTCTATGATCACAGAGTTGAGGGGCTGTGCACTCAGGAGCTGCCAGTGGCCATGCTGTGAGCCTCATGGAAAAAGCCAGTCTGAAAGAATGCAGCCGATGTGCAGAGAGAGTCAAAGATGAAAGGTGGAGAGAGAGAGGAGTAGCAGCTGACCAATGCTCAGTTGCTACTCCCTGGTGCTGGACATCCCTGAAGCCAGCTCTACCCCTGCCCTTGCTACAATAGGTTCACTTGAGCCAGTCAATTCCTCTTTGACTTACACTGATTTTGTTATTTGCAACCACTGGCCATGACCAGGAGGAGGGAGGGTCCCAGCTAACCATGTTGTTTAATTCTGGCATCTGGTAAGAGCACTGAACTTGGAGCCAAGGGGCCTGGATTAGAGTGCTGGCTGTGCCTTTTCCCAGCTGTGTAACCTGAGGTCAATTACATATTCTGAGCCTCGGTTTCCCTATCTCTATGTACAGTTGTGGTGCCTGCTCTGGCTCTTTTACAACTTTTTTTTCCAAGTCTCAAGGCAGTCCTTGCACAAAGCGCCCTTTCTTTAAACCCCTTTTCCAGCTTTATTGGGGGCATAATTGACATAGGTTTTATTGCCCATATTTAAAGTATATGATTCATGAATTTTGACACATGTGTATACCTCTGAAGCCACCAGCACACTCGGGATAGTGAGCCCATCCATCACTGAAGAGGTGTCCTTGAACCCTCTTGTCATCTCTCCTGCACCCCGCTGTCCCACCTCCTCCCAAGGAAACACAGATTTGCTTTTTGCCACTATTGACAAGTTTTCATTCTATAGAATTGTATGTAAATGGAATGATACAGTATGTGCTTTTTTGGTTTGCCTTCTTTTACCAATCATAGTTATTTTGAGATTCATCCGTGCTATTGTGTGTCATAATAATGCCTATTCTAACTCCATGAATTTTATTTTTGTGAATTTCAATATACTTTTTTTTTTTTTTAAATTTAAGATCGGGTCTCGCTATGTTGCACATGCTGTTCTCAAATCCCTAGGCTGAAGTGATCCTCCTGCCTCAGCCTCCTGAGTAGCTGGGATTACAGGCACTTGCCACTGTGCCTGATTTTGAAAAATACTTTTTAAATAGTAAAAGTCTGCATAATTTTATAGGGTATGATTCTTCTGCTTAAAATATCTATCCCCACTTCCCACTTCTTTTTGTGGCATACCCCTTTCATTACCTCCCCTGATATACCCATCTTCAACTGCTGTGTTGGTGGCTGATGGCTCAGAGCTACCCCTGTTCCACTGAATTGCCTTTGTTGCATGAGAGCTGCCTCTCCCCAGGAGGCTACCCTCTTTCAAAGAGGCAGCCTGCAGCCCATGGCTGACTGATATGAGGAGCAAAATGCTGGTCCCCTTGCCTCAAGGTGGGACCTAATGTGTAGTGCCACTTATGTTTCAGGGCTCCATGTGGGATCAGGCTGAGGCTGGACTCCAGCTGAGACCACATCTTTTGTTTAGTTGCCCCACCTCCCAGTGCCCTCTGCTGCCTCCCTGAGTCTGTTTGTCCTGTGAGCACTCTCTTCACAAATCCCTTGGGCAAATGCCTGGCTCAGGTTCTGCTTCTAAGATCCCTAGCAGTTTGGGAGGCCAAGGCAGGACAAATGCTTGAGCCCAGGAGTTAGAGACCAGTCTGGGAAACATAATGAAATCTCATCTCTACAAAAATTTAAAAAATGAGGTGGGAGGATCACTTGAGCCCACAAGGTCAAGGCTGCAATGAGCCATGATTGCAGCACTGCACTCCTGCCTGGGTGATGGAGCAAGACCCTGCCTCAAACAAAACAAAACAAAACAAAACAAAACAAAACAAAACAAAACAAAACAAAAACCAAACCAAAACCCAGATCCTAAACATGGGACTGTGGAGTTGGAGCACCTACTGGCTTAAAGGCAATGAAGAACCCATCACTGGTGGTAGGTGGAATATGGATGGGCCCTGGCATGGTGTCTCAGGACAATTGCATGTTCACCTGTAATTTACTTTCACTTGTAATGAACTGGTCTGGACTATGGTGCAAGAGAATGCAATAACTTGTTCGGTGTCTCTGGGTTTTAAACGACATGGGGAAATAACAACTGTGAGAGTTATAAAATTGAGCGGCTGTTGATGAGTTTTCATGAATCACTGAATCCACTGGACAGGGAAAACAATAACTCACATCTATCCATTATAATTTAAAGTCAAATGTGAGAGTCAGGGAGACTCCTTGGGAACATTTTAAAGAGACCCTCATCTTCTGTAGCTGGAAGGCAAACCAAGTGGAAGACCATGTACAGGACTCTGTTGTAAAAGTTACTGAACTTCAAAGAAAGCAAAATTGTCAGCTTTCCCAAGGTCGGTACCCTGATAGGGAGGGAGTGAGAGCTTGAGAATTGGGATGAAGGTATTTGGGTAGATGAGCTTGAGGACCTCAAATCTCCTGATTTTCCTGAACCCTTCAAGCCTGCAGAAACAACCCACTCCCCTTTGTTAGAAGACAGTGGCCTTCCTTTGCTTGAAAATTATGCAGAAACCTCAAATTAGCCTACAAGACAATGCTTTCTCTACTTATAATATTCCCTCCCTTCCCCACCTGGACATCAGACCAATAAGAAGAGTTAAGTCCCAGCGTGGCTTGATCAGGAAAATGCTGGATCTGCTGAAGGAAGAGAGATGATAAACTCTAAAGGGTTTGCAGGACCTGGAATATGGAGACATGCCTCGGGGTAGATCCTGAAGGTGCTGGATCAAGGAGGATAGAAAGCTGGGTAAAAGATAATGAGTCATTATGGGGCATTCTTCCCTTCCTGTTAAATAAGATTCAACATCCTGTTAAGTGCCTCAGGTGCCAGTCCTGATATGCTGCTGGGGTGCTTGGAAAAATGACTCACATTGAGTGAAGTAGGGATGGCAAACTGAAGGATCAAAAAGCTCAGAGTAATGGGAATGATCAAGTGGATCTACTATATATGGTAAGGCAGGATGCGGTGGCTCACGCCTGTAATCCCAGCACTCTGGGAGGCCGAGAGGGGTGGATCACCTGAGGTCAGGAGTTAGAGACCAGCCTGGTTAACATGGTGAACTCATCTCTATTAGAAATATAAAAATTAGCTGGGTATAGTGGTGCACCTGCATTCTCAGCTACTCTGGAGGCTGAGGCAGGAGAATTGCTTGAATCTAGGAGGTGGAGGTTGCAGTGAGCCCAGACTGTGCCGCTGCACTCCAGCCTGGGTGACAGAGCAAGACTCCATCTCAAAAAAGAAAAAAGAAAAAAGCCATCTGCTGACGAGACTCACTGGGAAGGCCTGGTAGGCACTCCTTTTACCAAGGCTGTAAGGAATGTGTCCATGAGGGAGGCACCAGCATCACTGGGAAGCTATGTAGTGGCTGTGCTCTGAGGGTGGTGCTGGTAGAGATGCTGCAACAGAACTGGTATCCTAGTAGCCATGAGAATGATGGGATCGTGGAGTAGCAGAAGCCAGGTGGCAACACTTACCCATCAGGCAAGTAGGGCATTGTTACTGTCACGGGCAGCAAGTCAGAATGGCAGTCAGGGCAGCCTTATCTTCTGGGATCCATGGAGATGGCTAATGGAGCATGGAATTCCTGGGAAGGATAGATAAGTTGCTAACAGGCTGTTACTTAATATGTATAGTCAAAGAAGATCAGGAATGGATGAGCAGAAGGATGAAGTCAGGTATCCCCAAGGAAAGCCGTGATCCCTTACCCAGTTTCTATAATTGAACCAGTTCTCAAACTTAGAACCCATTGACCAAGGGGGAGGACAGAGTCCCCATGAGAAAGGACCTTGTAACACCATGGCAGTGTGTACTCTTAATGGACTCTCGATTGTTGATTCTTTGACCTGTGGAGTAAGCAATTGTAGTAGGAAAGGCCTAGTGGAAGTGTGTACAGTAGTTGTTCCCCTAGTTCTTCCCAAAAGATTTATGACCACTTATTCAGGGTCCTGTATACTGGTGTGTGGTAGGCAGAATAATGGACTGCCAAGGATGTCCATTCCCTGATCCCTGGATCCTGTATGCTATGATTTGAATGGCCCTGCCAAAACTCATGTTGATCTTTAATTGCCAATGTGATGGTATTGGGAAGCGGAGATTTTAAGAGGTGATTAAGTCATGAGAGCTCTGCCTTCATGAATGGATTAATGCCATTATTGAGGAGTTGGGTTAATTATTGTGGCAGTGGGCTCCTGATAAAGGGATAAATTGGACCCCTATATATTTGCTGTCTCATGCTTGGGCTTCTGCCTTCCTCCTCTCCACTATGAGAGGATTCTTGCCAGATGCTGGTGCCATGCTTTTGGACTTTCCAGCTTCTAGAACTGTGAGCCAAAGAAACTTATTTTCTTTAAAAATTATCCAGTCTTGGCCGGGTGTGGTGGCTAATGCCTGTAATCCCAGCACTTTGGGAGGCCGAGGCAGGCAGATCACGAGGTCAGGAGATTGAGACCATCCTGGCTAACACTGTGAAACCCCATCTCTACTAAAAATACAAAAAAATTAGCTGGGCGTGGTGGTGGGTGCCTGTAGTCCCAGATACTTGGGAGGCTGAGGCAGGAGAATGGCGTGAACCCGGGAGGCGGAGCTTGCAGTGAGCTGAGATCGTGCCACTGCACTCCAGCCTGGGCGACAGAGCGAGACTCCATCTCAAAAAAAAAAAAAAAAAAAAAAAATTACCCAGTCTTTAATACTCTGTTATGGCAACATGAAATAAACTATAACACTCTCAATATATTACATATAGAAAAAGAGACATGGTAGCTATAATTAAGATTACAGATTTTAAGATAGAAAGATGATCCTGGATAATCCAAGTGGGTTTGAACTAATCACAGGAACCTTGAAAAGTAGAGTACTTTCTCCAGATGGAGGCAGGAGAGAAGGCAGAAGGGACGTCAGAGAGATTCAAAGCTGAGAGGGACTCAAACTGTCCTTGCTAGAGGGGGCTACATCAAGGCATGAGAAAAAAATGTGAGCAGCTTCTACGATTGAAGACTAACATCCAGCAAGGTAATGAGACCTCAGTCCTGCAACTACAAGGAACCAAATTCAGCCATCAACCTGAATAAGCTTGGTGGCAGATTCATCCCCAGAGCCTTCAGAAAGGGATCCAGGCCAACACCTTGATTTCAGCCTTGTGAGACTCTAAGCAGAGGACCCATTGGGTCATGCTATAACCAGACTTCTGATTTACAGGACTGTGAGATAATAAGTGGGTACCATTCTAAGCCACCAAGTTTGTGGTAATTTGTTTTGGCAGCAACAGAAAATTAATACAGGGATGTTGAGGACTGTTGGACATAGGGTATGGGTTGATGCTAATATCCAAAGAGCCAAAGCACCGTCGTGGCTCCTGTTAGAGTGGTGGCACATGAAGGCCAACTAATATGATACATGGAGCCCTACACTAGGTTCATCTCCTGCAGTTTGTCTGGGAAATTGACCCATGTGATATTCTACAGACTAGCTATTGGTCATTCTTGTTTCCAAATGCACAGTTAGAATAGACATACTTAATTGTTGGTATGACTTTTAATTGTTGGTTCTTTGACCTAAGAAGTAACAGCTATTGTAGTAGGAAAGGCCCAGTGGAAGTCCTTGAGACTACTCCCTTCCAGCCGCAGCCAAGATAGTAAATAAAAAACAATATTACATCCTGGAGGAAAAATGGAGATGAGCTTCACCCTCAAGGATTTCTATGATACACAGGTTTGGTCCCATTGCTTCTTTTTATTTATTTATTTTATTTTTTATTTATTTTTATTTTATTTTATTTTATTTTTTTAGTATTTATTGATCATTCTTGGGTGTTTCTCGGAGAGGGGGATTTGGCAGGGTCATAGGACAATAGTGGAGGGAAGGTCAGCAGATAAACATGTGAACAAGGGTCTCTGGTTTTCCTAGGCAGAGGACCCTGCGGCCTTCCGCAGTGTTTGTGTCCCTGGGTACTTGAGATTAGGGAGTGGTGATGACTCTTAAAGAGCATGCTGCCTTCAAGCATCTGTTTAACAAAGCACATCTTGCACCGCCCTTAATCCATTTAACCCTGAGTGGACACAGCACATGTTTCAGAGAGCACGGGGTTGGGGGTAAGGTTATAGATTAACAGCATCCCAAGGCAGAAGAATTTCTCTTAGTACAGAACAAAATGGAGTCTCCCATGTCTACTTCTTTCTACACAGACACAGTAACAATCTGATCTCTCTTTCTTTTCCCCACATTTCCCCCTTTAATATTCGACAAAGCGCCATCGTCATCATGGCCTGTTCTCAATGAGCTGTTGGGTACACCTCCCAGACGGGGTGGCGGCCGGGCAGAGGGGCTCCTCACTTCCCAGACGGGGCAGCTGGGCCGAGGCGCCCCCCACCTCCCAGACGGGGCAATGGCTGGGCGGGGGCTGCCCCCCACCTCCCTCCCGGATGGGGCGGCTGGCCGGGGTGGGGGCTGCCCCCCAACTCCCTCCCGGACGGGGCGGCTGGCCGCCCATTGCTTCTTTTTAAATTAATCAACCCCTGCAAAAACCAGGCAGATCATGGCGGATGACAGTGGACTATCTCAAATGCAATCAAGTAGCAGCCGTGATCTCACTGCTATGCTAGTAGCAGTATCTTTTCCAGAGCAGAGCAGCACAGCCTCTGATGTGAGATGTACAGCTACTGATCTAGTGAATGTGTCCTTTTCAATACCTGTCAAGAATGAGCATCAGAAGCAGTCTTCATTTACATGGGACAAATAACAGATAAATTCATGGTCTTTCCTCAGGGCCATGTTAATTCTCCAGTTCTTTGCTCAATATAGTCTGAAGGGACCTGGATCCCCTAGAAAGTCTGCAGGACATCACATTGCTCCACCACCTTAGTGACATCGTGTTAATTAGACCTGATGAGCAGAAAGTGCTGAGTCATCCTACGTGTGCTATAAAGTATTAGAACACATTCCTTCCATCTAGCTGTAGTTTTGTATCCTTTAACAAATCTTTCCTTTTCTGCCCCTGTCCCCTTACTCTGCCCTGCCTCTAGTATCCTCTGTTCTACTTTTTACTTCTATGAGATTAACTCTTTTTAGGTTTCACATATAAGTGAGAACCTGCATTTCACTTAACATAATGCCTTCCGGTTCCATCCATGTTGCTGCAAATGACTGTAGTTAACAGAAATATATTACATAGTTTCAGGGCCAGGCGTGGTGGCTTATGACTGTAATCCCAGTGCCTTGGGAGGCTGAGGCAGGGGGATCTCTTGAGGCCAGGAGTTTGAGACCAGCCTGAGCAACATAGCAAGACTCTGTCTCTACAAAAAAATTAAATTACCTGAGTGTGGGTGGTACATGCCTGTAGACCCAGCTACTTGGTAGCCTGAGGTGGAAGGATCACTTGAGCTCAGCAGTACAAGTTTACAGTGAGCTATGATCATGCCACTTCTGTCTAGCCTGGGTGACAGAGAAAGACCTGTCCCTAATAGTAATAATAATAATAATAATAATAATAATAAGTATATAGTTTCAAATAGCTAGAAGGAGGATACTGAATATTCCAACACAAAGAAATGATAAATGTCTGAGGTGATGATATTTCTAAGTATCCTGATTTAATCACTATATTTTTATTTTTTTGAGACAGGGTCTTACTTTGTTGCCTACGCTGGAGTGCCCTGGAGTGATCACAGCTGAAGTGCAGTGGCATGATCACAGCTCACTGCAGCTTTGATCTCCCAGACTCAAGTGATCCTCCCATCTCAGTCTCTCAAGTAGCTGGGACTACAAGTGCATGTCACCATGCATGGCCATTTTTTTTTTTTTTTAATTTTTAGTAGAGAAAAAGTGTTGCTATGTTGCTCAGGCTGGTCTTGAACTCCTGAACGTAAGCAGTCCTCCTGCTTCAGCCTCCCAAAGTGCTGAGATTACAGGCATGAGCCATGGTGCTTGGCCCACTATACTTTATATGTATCACAACATCACTATGTACCTCATAGGTATATATAATTATTGTGGGCCAATTAAGAAAATCAAATTTAAAAAGATTAAAATACAAAAAAGGAATGGGAAGTACCCTGAATGCCTTGGTAAGTCAAATTTCGTCCAGAAGATAGGAGAGAAAACCTATTAAGATTCAGAAGCTTGCCATGTTAGTGAAGTTTTCAAGGGTCCAATGATCTGCCAGCACATCCCCTGTTAAGGTAAGGACAAGTTATTGCACTTTGCACCTTCCACCAAATAAAAAGAAGCACAATGCTTGGTGGGCCTTTTTGGGTTTTGAAGACAGAATACTTTGCACTTGAAAATACTTCTCCAACACTTTTATCGAATGACAGGGAAGGCTGCTAGTTTTTGAGTTCAGCCAAGAGCAGAAAAGGGCTCTGGAGCAGATCCAAGCTGCTGTACAAGCAGCCCTATTGCTTGAGCATATGACTTAGCAAACATCATGGAACTAGGGGGATTTTTGGTAGAGAAGGATGCTGGGGTTTTGGTATATGGCCATGCTATCTATAGTTGGTGGAATTGTGTCTCAAAAAGATGTGTTGAAGTCCTAACTCCTGGTACCTATGAATGTGACCTTATATGGAAATAATGTCTTTGCAGATGTAATCAAGTTAAAATAAGGTCATCCTGTATTAGGGTGCACCCTAAATAGGATGACTTGTGTCCTTATAAGGAGAGGGAGATCTGGAGGCATACTTACTCACAGGGAGAGAATGCCATATGAAGACAGAGGCGGAGACTGGAGCAATGTGTCTAGAAGACAAGAAACACCAAGAATTGCCAGCAACACCAGAAGCTGGGAGAGAGGCATGGGATGGTTTCTCCCTGAGAGCCTCAGAAGGAACCAACCCTGTGAACACCTTGACTTTGGACTTCTGGCCTCCAGAACTGTGAGGAATAAGTTTTCTGTTGTTTTAAGCCACCCAGTTGGTGATAATTTGTTATGGCAGCTCTGGGAAACAAACACACCATCTAAAGCACCCAACAGTATATACCATCTGAAAAGCAGCTCTGGGCTTGCTACTGGGCTCTGGTGACAACCGAGTGTCTGATTGTGTGATATCAAGTAACCATGTAGTTGGAAGCTGCTAGTCTCATCAAGAGCTGGGCACTGTGAGGCCTATAAAGGCATAAGGTCAGGTGGGCCCAGCAGCAGTTTGTTGTAAATTGGAGGTGGTATCTATTGGACTGGGCTCAAGCAGGTCCAGGGAACACAAGCACCCAGGGCCACTCTCTTGACTCTCACTTATGACACATGGAGGGGTTTCCAGCTGGTGGAAGAGGAATAAGCTTGCTTGACCCAGTCTGTGGCTGTAAGCCAAAAATGGACTGTGGCAGCACTACAGGCACACTTGGAGTTGGCCCTGAAGGACTGGTGAGGGGAGATCGTCTCAATCTCTGAGCACCTTCCAAGCCATTCACTTTGTGTAGAGAGAGAAATGGCCCAAGTTAAGGATAAACATTGACACAGTTTGGATATTTGTCCCCACCCAAATCTCATGTTGAAATGTAATCTCCTGGCTGGGCATGGTGGCTCACACTTATAATCCCAGCACTTTGGCATTATATTGCTTTAGCCCAGGAGTTCGAGACCAGCCTGGGCAACATGGTGAAACTTCATCTCTACAAAAAATACAAAAATTAGCAGGGCATGATGGCACATACCTGTAGCCCCAGCTACTCAGGAGGCAGGATAAATTGAGGCTGGGAGGTTGAGGCTGCAGCGAGCCATGATTGTGCCACTGTACTCCAGCCTGGGTGACAGAATGAGACCCTGTCTCAAAAGAAAAGGAAAAGAAAAGAAAAAAGAAAAAGAAATAGAAATATAATCTCCAATGTTGGAGGTGGGGCCTGGTGGAAGGTGTTTGGGTCATGGGGTGGATTCCTCATGAATGGCTTGTGCCACCCCCTTAATGGTAAGTGAGCTCTCACTCTGAGTTCGTATGAGATCTGGTTGTGTAAAAGTGTGTGGCACCTCCCTGCCTCCTGCTCCTGCTTTTGCCATGTGATATGCCTGCTCCTGCTTCACCTTGCACCATGAGTGAAAGCTCTTTGAGGGTTCACCAGAAGCTGAGCAGATGCTGTTGCCTTTCTTTAAAGACTGTGGAACTGTGAGTCAATGGAAAATCTTTTCTTAATAAATTACCCAGTCTCAGGTCTCTCTCTCCCTCCCTCCCTTCCTTCCTCCCTTCCTTCCTTCCTTCCTTCCTTCCTTCCTTCCTTCCTTCCTTCCTTCCTTCCTTCCTTCCTTTCTCTCTCTCTTTCTTTCTCCTTCCTTCCTTCCTTTCTCTCTCTTTCTTTCTCTTTCTTTCTTTCTTTCTTTCTTTCTTTCTTTCTTTCTTTCTTTCTTTCTTTCTTTCCTTTCTTCCTTCCTTCCTTCCTTCCTTCCTTCCTTCCTTTCTTTCTTTCTTTCTTTCTTTCTTTCTTTCTTTCTTTCTTTCTTTCTTTCTTTCTTTCTTTCTTTCTCTTTCTTGCTTTCTTGCTTTCTTGCTTTCTTGCTTTCTTGCTTTCTTGCTTTTCTTTCTTTCAAGTTTTGCTCTTGTTGCCCAGGCTGGAGTGCAATGGTGTGATCTTGGCTCACTGCAACCTCTGCCTCCTGGGTTCAAGCGATTCTCCTGCCTCAGCCTCCTGAGTATCTGGGATTACAGGTGCGTGCTACCACGGCTGACTAATTTTTGCATTTTTAGTAGAGACGAGGTTTCACCATGTTGGCCAGGCTGGTCTCGAACTCCTGACCAAAGGTAATCTGCACGCCTTGGTGCCCCAAACTGTTGGGATTACAGGTGTGAGCTACCATGCCCGGCCAGGTATTTCTTTATAGCAATGCAGGAATAGCCTAATACAGACATGAACTTCTGGAAAGTGGTGAATGATTTGGCTGATTGCTCAAGGGCCTGGAGAAATATTGGAAGATGAGGTAAAGAGTTTGGGGATAAGGTATGCAGATAGAGATATGAGACTGGCTACAAAGCGTAGATTCCTTATTCTGTATCTTTTTTTTTTTTTTTTGAGATGGAGTCTCACTCTGTTGCCCAGGATGGAGTGCAGTGGCACGATCTTGGCTCACTGCAACTTCTGTTTCCTGGGTTCAAGCAATTATCCTGCCTCAGCCTCCCGAGTAGCTGGGATTACAAAGGCCTGCCACCATGCCTGGCTAATTTTTGTATTTTTAGTAGAGACAGAGTTTTGCCATGTTGGCCAGGCTGGTCTTGAGCTCCTGATCTCAGGTGATCTGCCCACCTCAGCCTTCCAAAGTGCTGGAATTACAAGCATGAGCCACCATGCCCTGGCCTTATTTCGTATTTTGATGCCAACCAGAAGACATCTATTGTGAAAAAAGCACTAAAAAAATCATATGGACAGGATGACTTAGCCAGTAGGTGTCAGCTATTCTCTCTCTGTGGCCAACCCAGGGTTTGCACCACGGAGTAGCCGTGGTGGCAGAGATGGAGATGATGCATGGGACAAACACCATGATCTGTCTTACCAAGGCTGATCCAGGTACTGCTGTTGCTCAATCACTAATCTTCTCACAACAGAGAGAATGCTGTCTCCCACATGATATAATCCCTGGAGGAAACCATCCGCACCTGATGTGGACATGATAGAGTGAAAAATTGACTGTATTAGATTTTTACACTGTGGACATCTTGATTGGGATTGACGTGTATTCCAGGTGTGTGTTTGCCTTTCCTGCTCTCAGGGCCTCAGCCAACACTGCTGTTTAAGGATTCATATGTATGTGCCATCATGTGATACTGTAGAATCCTACTTTGTGCCAAGTGATGCAGCAGTGGGCACATGACCATAAGATCCACTGGTCTTACCGTATTCTGCATTATCCAGAGGCGGGTACATCTGTTAGAGCAGTGGAATGGCCCACTGAACGCATAGCTGATCTGTTAGCTTAGAGATGACACCCTGCAAGTTTGGCACACTAGCCTTATGGATGCAGAATATTCTGTAAATCAATGGCCATTATATCTTGCTGTGTCATTAAGAGGTAGAATATTGGGTTCGAGAGCCAAGAAATGAAAATTGGCATTGATTCGCTCTCCATACCTCCTAGTGATGAGCTTGGAGGATTTGTGTGGTGTCATCAGGCTCTGTGAACCTCAAGATTATAATTTCCAGCGGGGGCAATTTCCACCAGAGGACACAATAAAAGCAAACATAAATCTATGCCTGCCATCTGGGCACTTTGAGAAGACCATAAGGCAAAGAAAATAGTCACCATCCTGGCACAGGGCATTGGCCCTTCTTATCATGATGAGACTGGGCTGCAGCTACACCATGAGAACAGAGAGAGATATTATTGGTTCTCAGGTGCTTCACCGGGGCATTACTTTGTACCCCCATGACTAACTGTCACTGAAAATGGGCAGTTAGCAACCACTGCCTGATAAGAGCATTGTAACCAGGGGCTCAGACCCTCCAGGATGAGGGTGTGTATCACTCCATCTGACCAGCCTTTTAGTCCAGCAGAAGTGCTAACTGATGGAGAGGGTGATCTAGAATGAGTCGTGGAGGAGGGAGATGGTGAGTATTAGTGATAGCCTCGAGACCACCTGCAGCCGTGGAAGCTCTAGTTTATCCCACTAATCTTCTTGTCAAAATTTCTTCCAAATGGTGACCAGTCAGAGTCCTAGAGAGAAGCTACAGCTGCATGGAATGAACTTAATGTGAGAAGCGATGGATCGGAGCAGTTTAAGGCGTAGACTGTAATAGACGCTGTTGGTGTCCCTCCCAGATCCCTTTAATGGGCTGGTGGACCCGTGTTCCAGGTGCTGTGAGTGCTGACTGCATGCCTCATGGATACCTCGCCTCATTCTCTGGTGAGTCAGCTTTAGCCCTCTATTACCTGGCAGCAGCACAGAGCCAGTAACTGACACAGAGGAACAAAATCCAGATTCCTGGCCTCTAGGTGTTGTCATCTCTATGATGTAATTTATGCTCCACAGATCCTTCTGGGTCCAGGCTAAGGCTATTCTCTAGCTGGCCATACCCTTGCTTAGAGTTTACCCTCTTCCCTGCTTTGCCCCCATTATCTCTTTCCTCCTGTGAGTACTCACTCAAAACATCACTTGCAGGAGCATTGCACCAAAAACACAAAAATCTGGGGATTACCAAAAATTTGAAATGTCATGATCAGCTAATTCTTTAATACTATCAAGTAATTTCTTAGCTCACTAATTTCTTAAAATCATCAAATATCTACTGTTAAAATTTCTCCCAATGATTTAATTTTTATTTAAAAAATTTTAAAATGTATTTATTTTATTTACAACTCTTAAGTTCAGGGGTACATGTGCAGGATGTGCAGGTCTGTTACATAGGTAAACATGTGCCATGGCGGTTTGCTGCACAGATCATCCCAAAACTATGGTTTGCTTGTTTGGATCCATATTAGTTTTCCATTGCTGCTGTAACAAATCACTATAAACTTGGTGGCTTAAGCAATACAAATTTATGATCTTATAGTTCTGGAAGTTGAACACGGATATCTCTGAGCAGAAGTCAAGGCATCATTAGAGCCATGTGCCTTTCTGGAGGCTCTGTAGGAGAACCTGCCTGTTTGTGTTTTCCACCTTCTTAGAGGTTGTTCACATCCTGTGGCTTGTGGCTCCCTTCCTCCACCATCTAAACCAGTTACATCGCTCCTCTCTGATCCTTCTTTTATAGTCACATTGCTTTCTGATTACAGCCAGAAAGGATTCTCCACTTTTACAGACTCATTAAATTAGACTGACCCTTCCTGAAAAACTTGGAGTAATCTTCCCATCTCAAGATCCCTAACCTTAACCTCGTGTGCGAAGTCTCTTTTGCCATAACCTGTATTCACAGGTTCTAGGGATGAGGAGATGAACATCTTTGCAGGCCATTATTCTGCCCACCACAGGATCCAAATAAAGTTCATATGTTTCACTTGGTTAATATGCCTAAGTCTTTTTAAATCTGTAGATCCCCTTCCTTTCTAACTCTCTCTCTCTCTTGCTTTTTTCAGAGACAGGGTCTCACACTCTGTCACCCAGGCTGGAGTGCAGTGGTGTGATCATAGCTCACTGCAGCCTTGAACTCCTGGGCCCAAGCAATCCTTCCACCTCAGCCTCCTGAGTTGCTGGGAATACAGGCTCACACCACCCTGTCTGGTGTTTTTATTTGTTGTAGAGATGGGGGTCTCACTATGTTGCCCAGGCTGGTCTTGAACTCCCGGCCTCAAGCTATCCTTCCACCTCAGCCTCCCAGAGCACTGGGTTTACAGGAATGAATCACTGTACCTGTCCCCTTCCTTTATAACCCTTTTGGTCTTTGCAATTTATTGTGGAAGAACTGTTATTTTCTCTAGAAGATTCCTCCAGTCTATATTTTGCTATAGTCTCATGGTTTCTTTAAGGTGTTCTTTTCTTGGTTTTCCTTGAAAATTGGTAGTTGGATCTAGAGGGTTTATCAGACTTATGTTCATTTCTTTTTGTAAGACATAGCAGGTAGTGTGCTTTTTGTGATATTAGCAGCTATTGATGCTCAATGCCTAAATCTATTAATTTTGTAGGGTTTGTAAAAGGGTGATACTCTTTCTATAATTCCATATTTATTTATTACCTATAATACATCTATAATGTATTATCAAATATTTGGGTAGCCTGAGGTACAGTTCTTTGAGGAAAGGCAGAATAAATGCATGCTCCTTTCCCTTTATTTACTAATTTTCACAATAGTTTGTTCACTAGTATCCTCCACCCATGATCGGTGAATTTCCTTTCGATTATCATAATGAAGTCAAGGATTTAAGCATCTCGATTCCAAACCCAGATCTTCTATATTCTAGTTATAGAACAACGGTGCCCAAATTTTTGCTCACCAAGAATCCTGTTGTTTTATCCCCAGGACTCCTTAATTGAAAATATCTTGCTCACTAAATCCACTGCATAAAATAGGAATTAATTAGTTGCCCAAATTTTAATAAGTTAAAGATAATCATGAGTCAAATAAGGTTCTGATTGCAATAGTCCTAATGTAATTCTTCTAGAGTCTACTAGAATGCCAGAATACCAGCCAAAATAAAAGATTCTTTAGTCAATCTGGTCTTACCCCCTGTAGTTAGCCTTTCTATATTGAGAATAGCTTGAATACCCTTGCCCCCATAATGGACTCCAAGAATCCGTTGTTTTGAAACCATTGACTTAACAACCAACAAGCTAGTAGTTATTGAGTCCTTCCTATGGGGTAAGCAATGTTCTAAGTACTTCAATGTATGGCATATTTAATTCTCAGAACCACCTTAAGAGGTAGCCACTATTATTATCTTCATTTTGTGGATGAGAAAATTGAGTGACAAGAAAAGTTTAGTGGCTTGCCCAAGGTCACACAGCTGGTGAATGATGGAGCTGGGAGTGGCAACCCTGGGCCCATACTCCCACATGGCGATGATTAGCTGATGCTGAGTGGTGGCTTCCTTCCTTAGGCCAAGCATATACCCCTCGGGTCACGATAGCATCCACCTGTCCGTCTTCATTCATTGACATTACTGGCCTAGCCTCTGCAGGCATTTGGGTTTGAGATCTCTGGCATGCCTCACCAACGCTTTACACATCTTGTGATTCTAGGAAGCTTTAATTGGGTTTGTAATAAGAATGGATGCCTCATCTTAACCTGTCCAGGGAATAGAGTTTTATTTGTCCTGGATCTCACGCTGGGCTGGATTTATAAATGCAGAATCCCAGCACCAAATTTAGCAGAGTGAATTATTTGGTTTCCCAAATGTAGGCCACAGTATCTAATTGGAGCTGTAATGCAGTAACTGTGTGGGCAATTACCCAGCGAGGTGATGGGTGATGGACATGTTCAAGATGGAATCTGGGAGCACTGTATCAAATAATTTCCTTTTCTCTTTCTTTTTCCACAAGAAACAATTTTCTTCCCTGTTGTCCATCTTGGTGGTTTCAGGTCTCCTTTTGGACCTTGGAGACAACATTGAAGGTATGGCTCAAAGACCAGCCAGCCAGCAAGACATTATGGAACTCAAGTCCCGTACCACAGTTGCTTGCTACGTGAGGCTGGGTTACCTCTTGAGGCTACGTGAGGCTGGGTTACCTCTTGGAGCTCTCTGGGTCTGTTATTTTAGTAACATGAAGACCTAGAAACATTTTCCTTGTCAAAGACCTTTGGTTCTATGAGGTAAGTGGGATGGTGTGGGGGTGGTGCTCTGGGAATAGGCAGATTTTGTTTCCATGCAAGATATGGTAACTGCCTTTATTTGAGTACTTACTGTATACCATATATATGCAAAGCATTTTGCAGACATTATCTCATTCAGAACACACAGTGCAACAACATATACAAACTGAGCCTCAGAGCAGCAAAGTGATTTGTCCTTTACTCCACAGCCAGCAAGTGGCAGAGCTGCAAAACCCATTGAAGAAGATTCACTGGGAGGTGAAGACTTCCCACTGGGAGGCTGGACAATGACTTGGCAGGGAGTTGGTCAGTTAAGTCCACTCTCATTCTAATGATCTGTGAACTCAAAGTCCTGTGATATTGGAAGCAAGGGTTTTTTGTGTACTTCTCCACTTTATTTCCAGCCTTCTGCTTATGAAACATGGGACACAGTATTATCAAGCTCTTGGCTATTTTGAACAAAAGTGAATTGGTAAGAATATCTCATGGGACCAAATGTAGCTGAATGACAGTCCCTAGGAATGAAAGGACTTTGGCACCCTGGGGAACCAGGTGGCTGTGGAAACCAGTGGTTTCGGGGCTTGGTGACAATGATTGGTCAGCTCCACCTATTTCTAGTCTGTCTTTGCTGTGCTTAAGATTTCACTCCTAGGAGAGAGCTGAGTGGTTCAGATTGAATCAAGGGAAGAAGGAGCATTTTGATGGACAGCCCCAAAGAAATGCATTCAATGGGAGTGAGTAGGCAGGAACAAGTCTCCAAATAAAAATGAAGTTGTTGGTAGCAAATGAAGGGAAAAGGATGTCAGGCAGGCAACACTCAGCAGTGGTCCATTTAGAGGACTTCTTAGGGAAGGACGGATGCCACGAGTCTGGGCAGCTCTTTTAGGAGTTGGGATAAGGGTTGCTGGTTCTCCCCGTCTGTAGAAGGATTGCATTAGAGTACATCGATTCTAAATCCCTCTCTGTCCCACTACCCACTCTTGCCATGCAAGGCCCTCTGGGTCTTTCAGTGTATATCAGCGCCCAAACAAGGAATGCTGGGTTTTTTAGACTTCTGCTGAGTGAAGCCCTGGGAAATGCAGCTGTAGCTTTCACTGAGCTCTCCCCACCCTCCCCTTTGTTTACTAAACATCTCAATGAGATGCAGGAAAAGCATCTTTAACATTGGACAATTAGTGGGTCTAATTACATACCCACAGCTATTCTCTTCCCACCATCCCCCATGATTGTGTACCCATCTTAATCCTCATCAGGCTTCATTATGCATGGATAATAGAGAGACATTAGGATTGTAACTGTTAATACTGATGAAAAGGGGGGAGTGGCTGCTGGCACAAGGCTAAGGTAGGAACTGCCTTCTTGGCTACATGAATCGTGTTGGCCATGTCTCTGCCGAGCCCTCTGGCTTTTTCAATTGCATTGTTCTCCTTGGTGGTCAGAGCCCAGGCTTGAAGCCAATAATTCTCTTCCTTAGCTGCAAATTGGAAACACCTTAAACTACCAAGGGGTCCCATCCCAGATTTTTTTTTTTTTTAGACAGGGTCTCACTTTGTCACCCAGGCTGGAGCACAGTGGCGTGATCACAGCTCACTGCAACCTCAGCCTCCTGAGCTCAAGCATTCCTCCCACCTCAGGTTTCAGAGTAGCTGGGACTACGGGCATGAGCCACCATGTCTGGCTAATTTTTGTATTTTTTGTAGAAATGGGGTTTCGCCATGTTGCCCAGGCTAGTCTCAAACTCCTGGGCTCAAATGATCTGCCCGCCTTGGCCTCCCGAAGTGCTGGGATTACAGGTGTGAGCCACTGCACCTGGCTGAGATTGTGATTTAATTGGTGCATGGTGAGCTTTGGGCATTAATAGTTTAAATGTCTCCCCCAGGTGATTCTAAGATGCAAAAAGGCATACCACTGACAGGTTATGGGCTAGTATTTTAGGCTACCAAGCCTCCCTTCCATTAAAAAAAAAATGAAGATTCTGAGATAATAGCCTTATTGTGGGCCTTTGCAAGTACTTCGTAATGGTGAAGCACGTAGACCTAGAGAGCCATGGGTTCAAATCCCAGATCTTTCTCTCACTAGCTGTGTGCCTTGGGGCAAATATCTTAACCTCTCTGAGATCTAGCTTTTCCATCTATAAAATAAGGTTGGTAATAGAATTATTATTATCTGGCATTTTCATTTTTTACTACATTTGGTGTGTCACTGTGAGCAAGATAACCCCGTGAGGGGAACTGGTTTTATGAGATGTAGCAAGATCCCTAGGGCCTCATTACCTGAACTGTGGCCTGTGCTACAGAAGCATCTGGATTAGCCCGGAACTTGCTAGAAATTCAGATTCTCAGGCCCCAGCCCAGGCCAATGAATCCCAATCTGCATTTTAACATGATTCCCAGGTAACCCACATGCACTTTAAAGTTCGAAAAGGCTTGGACTAGAATATTCTGAGCCTACGATCCCTCTCAGGTGAGTGTCTTTCTCCACTATTGCTTTAAGCCAAGACATTTATAATGAAATTCCAAGCACTGAGATAGGGAGATATTTCTGATCAAAGGAGCTTCAAAAATCATTTTGTAGGATTGCTGGGATGCTCATATTGACTTCTCTTTGGGACTACTCCGCTGTCACACCTCAAAATAGCTCTACGTTATAGGTATTATTATTGCCTCCACTTACCGTATAAAGAAATTGGGACTCAGAGAGGCTAAGAAACTTGCCTAAAGTCACACAGCCCATACAGACTCCTTTGAAGCCTGTTTCAAAGTTTTAGTAGATAACTCCTTGACTTTTAGTTTAGTTAAAACCAGGAAGTAACCCCCCATCAATTCCCTATTCCCACTCTCGGGGAAGTGGGACGCAGCTACTTTGCAATCCTTCCCTCTTTCTATACTGTTTCCAGCTAGAGTAGGAACATGCCAATTGGAGATGCTCCCAGTGGCTGCTGCTTAATACTGTTGTACAGAAACGGCTTGACTGTGGTGATAGCCTCTCTTCCTCACAAAGTTAATAGCTATTCCAATCTAGGCTTGATTCTTATGAGTGCATGGGCTGATATGAGACTTGACGAGAGCACAGCAGAGATGGAACAGGAGGGCTCCCCTGTGCCTGCATGGTGTCATGCTTTCACAACTCTTTCTTTAAGTAAAGAATAAAAACTTCTTAAGTAAAGAATAAAAACTTCACGCCATTTCAGTGGAAGGGCTCTTTAAAGTACAAGGAACCCCAGCCTCATCCAGAGAGGACTAACATTGTTTGACTCACAGAGAAATTAAAGGAGTTGGGATGAGACAAAAGTCATCTTCCCATTCTAATGGGACAATGGAAGAGGCTGCAAAAACTTTGTCAACAACAATTAGGTGGTGGAAGGAGCTAGAGGTCATGAGGGACAGTGTCTTGTCCCAGTCTGTTGGGGGAAAAGCAGGTGATCCTAAGCAAGAGAATGAAGTAGGTGGATCTTGATGACGATGATGTTGGTGATAATGGTTAGTTCATATTGAGAACTATTTTATTCTGGGTATCCTGCAAGTTCTTTACAAGTACCATCTCATTAAATCCTCTAGAATGGCACCATTCAATATGGAAGCCTCTAGCCACATGTGGTTTTTCAATTTAGGTTTATATTACCAAAAAGCAAAATTAGGTATTATAATTACATTACCCACATTTCCAGTTTTCAATAGTCACATTGGCTAGTGGCTACCATGTGGGACAATGAAGATGTAGAATATTCTCTCATGGCAGAAAGTTCTACTGGGCAGTGCTGGTCTAGACCCTATACACTCAAAGTATGGTCAATCCATGCTACCTATGAGCTTGTTGGAAAGGCAGAATCTCAGCCCTTTCTTTGGATCTGCTAAATCACCAATTTGAAAAGTTTATGGATATTATTTTATTATTTCTTCAAATCCTTTTTTTTTTTGTCCTGCCTCATTCTCTCTCTCTCTTTCTGTCTCCCCCTCTCTCCTCTCTTTTCCTTCCAGGACTCAAATTACCTTCATTTTGGACCTTTTGATATTGTTCTATAAGCCTCTGAGACTCTGTTAATTTGTTTCTCAATCTTTTTTTTTTTTCTCAAGAATGATTAATATTTTCTTTCTTTTTTTTCAGAGATAGAGTCTCACTAAGTTGTCCAGGCTGGTCTTGAACTCCTGGCCTTAGGTGATCCTCCTCCCTTGACCTTGCAAAGTGCTGGGAATACAGGCATAAGCCACCATACCCAGCCAGAATAGATAGTTTCTACTGATCTATCTCCAAGTTTGCTGACTCTTTTTTTGTACTATCCAATTCTAAAATTTCCATTTGGTTTGTTTTTTATATTTTATATTTCTCTCCTAAGATTTCCCATCTTCTTATTCACTATGAGCACATTTTTCATTATGTAACTGGACATAGGTACAATAGTTGACTTAAATCCTTGTCTGATAATTCCACCGTCTGGTTCATCTCAGGGTTGGCTTCTGTTGATTGTCTTTTCCTTGACAATGGGTCACATCTTCCTGATTCTCTGCATGCTAAGTGACTTTGGATTTTATGCTGGATGTTGTGAATGTTTTGTTGTGATTATGGATTTTGTTATATTGCTCTGAAGAGTATTGATGTTTTTGTTTTAGCAGTCAATTAAGCTTGTTGATTGCAAACTCTGTGTCACCTATGTGGGCAGCAATTAAAAATCTTAGTTGAATTTTTTGAGTCTTACCTATAATTTACTTTTAGTTTCTTCTGTGTATGCATGGTCAAGTGGTGAGCTAGAAACATAGACTAAATATATACCCAGAATCTGGGGTTCTTTTTCTCTTCTCTCTCCCCTCTAGGATTGTCCCTGACTGTGGCTATGGTTACCTTGGGCTCCTTTCTCAGTTTTGCAGGCCAGAAATTTGGAAAGCTTTCTATGAGAGTTTTATCTTCTCTGTACTATGCCACAGCTGTAGCCTGCCCTCAGATCAGAGTACAAAAATGAGAAACTCATCCTGTGCTGGTCCTTTCCTCCAAAATTTGACTCCTTTCCAAAATCTACCTGTTTTTTTTTTCCTCCACTCCCCTGACACTTAAGGTAATTTCTTTTTGTATTTTGTCAAGAGTTTATGGTTGTTATGTGTGGGATTATTAGTCTGTTAGGTCTTACTCTGCCATATCAGAAATAGAGCCCCAAATTACTGAATCAGAATCATTTTAACAAGAGCCCAAAGTGATTCATGTGCAGTTGAGAAACACTGCACTAAACCACCCGAAGAGGAAGGCACATCTCTTATGCTCATTTTACAGGTGAGGAAATTGAAGCTTAAGAAGGGCTCTTAAAATGGTCAATGCCACAGAACAAGGGGAGATGGGGATTCTAACCTATCAGGAGTCTGGAGCTTAATCACAATATTTTAGTCTCTCCCCTCCTTGGAAACAGATGAGGCTCATCCTACTTGGAAATGTGGTGGTAATCAAGCGATCAAATAGGCAATGAGAAGGCTATGAGTTGCTGCCTTTGATCATGCATTGAGAAAGAGATTATCAGTTAAGTTGGAACTGGACTGACCTCATTCTCCTATCAATCTTTGCCATGGTCCTTGATCGTTGGGATTTAACCTTTCTGAGTCACAAAATCTGGCATGAGATGTTATCAATCCTGAAAGCCTTAGGATTGAAACTGTTTGAAACCCTTGAGTTGGAGATCTACTTTGTTTATTAGTTGATGCAAGTGACTTTCTCACCATATAAATTAAATATTAGGTATTAATTGAACTTGAAAATTAAATCAGATTTTCATCATTTCAAGGAATTCTAACATGACTCTTGCCATCCAAGTCAAGGAGACTTTTGTATTCTTTTTTTTTTTGAGACAGAGTCTTGCTCTGTCGCCCAGGCTGGAGTGCAGTGGCATGATCTTGGCTCATTGCAAGCTCCGCCTCCTGGGTTCATGCCATTCTCCTGCCTCAGCCTCCCGAGTAGCTGGGACTACAGGCGCCCACCACCACGTCCGGCTAATTTTTTGTATTTTTTTTAGTAGAGACAGAGTTTCAACGTGTTGGCCAGGATGGTCTTGATCTCCTGACCTCGTGATCTGCCCGCCTCGGCCTCCCAAAGTGCTGCGATTACAGGCAAGACTTTTGTATTCTAAATGATCATCCCCTTCCTTTGATTTCTGCATCCTAATTGTCAACTCTAAAGAGAGTTTATTGTTTTCAGTATCCTATGTAGTAGGCCAATCCATCAGTCAAAGGAATGTTTAAAAGGTATAAAATATATGTCAGAAGACATGTTATCTCCTTTCTCCAACCTGATTCTAAGTTTCTGTGCTCAACAGAACTCTATTTACAGGTCATCTGGATTGATATTTCAGTAGCATCTATGGAGAAGATGGATGTGAGGCTGGCTGGGAACAAGTTTAGAGAATATCTGCTCCAACCCCAGGCCAAGAGAAGATAAATGCCTTATTCCAGGGCACAACAGCTATTAATGGGTAGAACCAGTTGTTTAATCTCAGTCCTTGTCCCACTCTTTGTAAACTGAATGAACTAGAGCTTGAAAAAAGATGTGGTTGTTTGGGTAAGGGTCAGAACTGATTGTGGATGTTGGCAGACAAATACACTTCCAGGGATTTTTTTTAGAGCAAATGACATCTCAGGGGGTAGGAAACAGGCACCTGGATGGTATTTTGGCAGCTGGGGAAAGAGTCAGGAGCAGCTGGAGAAAGCTGAAATTGATCCTCACCCTAGAGAGCTCCAGGACACATCGGATGCCAGATCCAGCACCACGGATAGCACTGGGGTGGAGGGGAGGGATTTGTGGGACACACAAAGAGTGGATGAACACTTGCCCCGAGGTTACTGAGGGACATGATCTTAAAGCAAGAATAATATCTCTTGGAATAGTTGTGCCACTCTCCCAAGATTCAAAGCCAGGGTAGGGCCAAATGATGGACCATGCTCTGGGTGTATGCAGGGTGGAGGGGAACCGTCTTTAAGTCTTTTTTTTTTTGAGACAGAGTCTTGCTCTGTTGCCCAGGCTGGAGTGCAGTGGTATGATCTCAAGTGATTCTTGTGCTTCAGCCTCCCGAGTAGCTGGGATTACAGGTGCACATCACCACGCCCGGCTAATTTTTGTATTTTTAGGAAAGATGATGTTTCACCATGTTGGCCAGGCTGGTGTCGAACTCCTGACCTCACGTGATCCACCTGCCTCGGCCTCCCAAAGTGCTGGGATTACAGGCGTGAGCCACTGTGCCTGGCTTGTCTTTAAGTTTTGTAGTGGGAGGAATGTCTTTGTCTCCCATGGATCTTGATATTTCTTCAAACTGGAATGATGCTTAGATGTCTGGATGACAAATGTCCATTATGTTGTGGATTAGGGAGACGACAGAGGAAGAACAGAAGAAGGAAAAAAGGCCAGGGGGTGGTGGAGACAGAGAGAGAGAGAAAGGGAGAGAGGGGAGGGGAGGGGAGGAGGGGAGGGAAAGGGAGAGGAGAGGAAAAGACAGGAGAGGAGAGACAGAGAGATCCACCCACAGGGTAAATACTCCGTGGAGCAAGAGATAGACATCAAACATGGCTGTTCCTTCAGGCTCTATGTTCTTCTCATGCTGAGCATCTCACCTTTCTTCCAGAATGTAACATGAATGCAAGTCAATCCCTACCTCTGCTGCTCCCTGAGGTAAATATCAGCCTGCTTCAACACTGGTGGAAAGCTGGCTGTGTGGTTTGGTGGGAATAGATATGCACCTTTCTCTGGCATTTCCAAGAGCTACTTTTGAGCTATGATTTTTTTATTTTGTTTTATTTTATTTTTTTGCCTAAGTGCTGGCATAAGGGATGACTCCCCTCATGAACTTACTGTGTGCAGTCACTTTGCTTGCCTTTGTGTAACCCTCACTCAATCCTGTTTGGTAGATGTTATTGTCCCATTTTACAGATGAGGCTCAGAGAGGACATGACTATAATGCAGGCTTTTTTTGTTGTTGGTTTTGGTTTTATTGTTTTTTTTTTTTTTTTTTTTTTTTTTTTTTAAAGGCTGCCTTGACCTAGTTTTGAGGCCCTGGCTGTAGGCCGGTCAGTCTTTCTTCTTAAGCAGTAGATGAAGTTTACACCCCAGCTACTTCTCCTATCAAGCTCTCACACTATGTGCGAGGTACACTATGTGCATGCCTACGTCAGGGCCACATACCAGACAACTAGAAACAGCTCCTACCCTCCTGAGCTGCAAATTCTTCAAATTAGCTGATTCACAGATTAGCTGCACCCCTGATCCCTCTTGTCATATATAGGCTACCCCTTCCAACCCCAGCTGGTTGTCACTCTGTTACTCTGGTTAGTCTGAGCAGCCCATGCATGGCCCTGCATGGCAACCTTTTCTCTTGTTTGCAGATGTAAGTAACATGGAGTACTGCCTTTCATCTGTCAGTGTTGTGTTGTGTTCCACCATAAAAGGACCTTTAAATCTCATGAAACAGTGACATACTCCACCCTCCAACATGCCAATCACAGGCGTAAGCACTGTCTAAATGGAGTGATCAAGGTGAGGTTGTCAATAGATGAATGTCCCCTTTAGCCCAGGGGCTTCAGGGGGACAGTGGCAATGTCTGTGCTAGTCACAGTTGTACCTCCAGCACCCAAGACAGCACTGGCTCAGTAAATACCAGCATCATGGCACTGACCTCAGTGAGTATTTACTACGTCCTCAGGGCTGTGTTAGATGCATGGAAGCTGTTGCTGCCCTGGCTGAGCTGACAACACTGTGAGAAGACAGCCCACGCACAAGAACTGCAGAGAAATGAGAGCATCCCCAGGCAGTGCCCCCAGACTCCCACGTGCCTTGCTTTGCTTGACCCTGAGATTTAGTCTGCAGGAACTTCAGGTCCTTGGCAACTTGTTATCATTGTATTTTGTGACAAATTCCACTTCTCTCCAGTGAAATGACATGGATGATTACTTGGTTTGCAAGGAGAGAGACCTGGGTTTTCCCACTTGGATGCCAGGTACCAGGGGAGGACAATATAACTGAGCTTATTCAGGTGTGGTGGAGAGGTGGCTGGGGATGGAGGCGGGAGACATGGCTGGGAAGACTGAAGAGTGTCACTCCTCCTCCCAGGGGACAGTTTCCTCATCTCTGTAGTGAGGGGATAAGATCACTCCTGAGGATGAGAGAGAGTATGTGAAGGGGTTCAGAGGGTGCATTTTGCAGCCAGACTACCTAGGTTCAAATCCCAGTGGCACCCTTTACGAGCAGTGTGACATTGGGCAGGATTCCCCCTCGCTAAGCATCAGTTTCTTAATCTATGAAATGGATACAGAAAGTATCATTCCCATAAGATTATGGTGATCATGAAATTAGATAATGTGCATTTAGTACTTAGCTCCTGGAACATAGGAATTGCTCAATATATGTTAGCAAGAATAACACTAATAACAACAATCAATATAATAGTAAATAGGGTGAAATTTCAATGAGGAACAAGAGAGGATAGAATCAAAATATTTCAAAACCAAATACTTATCAATTACTCCATTAGTGTAACATGGCTGCTATAACAAATTATCACAGATTTGCTTGAAACAACACACATTTGGCTGGGTGCAGTGGCTCATGCCTACAATCCCAGTACTTTGGGAGGCTAAGGAGGGAGGCTGGCTTGAGGCCAGGAGTTTGAAACCAGCCTGGTCAACACAGCAAGACCTTGTCTCTACAAAAGAAAAATGAAAACAAAAACAAAAGCAAAAAAACCCCCACACATTTATTCTCTTGCAGTTTTGGAAGCCAGAAGTCCAAAATCAGTTTTACTGTGCTGACATGCAGGTGTCAGCAATACATTTACGTTGTTTTAAGCCACTAAATTTGCGGTAATGTGTTTACAGCAGCAACAGGAAATGAATATTCTACCTATGCATATAGTTATATATACATGCATGTGGTTATGTATTTCTAAATACAGTATATGAATACATAAATAAAGCTCTTTAAATATGTTTAGAGAGAGACAGCGTGATTAAGCTAATGTGGGAAAATATTAACATTTGGGGAATCTGGGTCTTATGTTCTATGTACTATTTTTGCAATTGTTAAGTCTGAAATTATCTCAGAAAAAATCTTAAAACAATACTATGCTCATTAAAAAGGACTTAGATTCTCCATAGTGGCTGGACATTTCCTTTGTAAAAATGGTCATTTTCCTGGATTCTTATTACACTCCAGGCACCAGGCCAGAGCTTTTGGAGCATCCTCTCATTTGATCCTCAAGTAACCCCTTGAGATAGGTGCTGTTGCCCCATTTTATGACAAAAAGACTAAGGATCAAATAGCTTAGGGAACTTGCTGGGAGTCACTCAGCTGGTGGGCAGCAAACCCAGGATTCTACCTGGCACCCATGGTGGTCAATGCCCTTCCCCGTGGGGAGGGAGGGAAGGAGCGGGCAGCAGTGAGTTAGAACAGCAGTTCTTAAAATGTGGTCCCTGGGCTGGCATCAGCGTTAATACCACCTGGGAACTGGTTGGAAAGGCTACTTCTTGGACATCACCCCAGATCTCCTAAATGGACACCCTGGGGGTGGAGCCCAGCCATCTGTGTTATAACAATCCCTGCAGGAGACTCTGATGCTCACTCAGGTTTGAGACCCTCTGTTTAGAGGGCTGGTGCTTGCTGCCTGGTGGCAAGCCTCAACTCTGTTTGTCATCTCTGCATTATTTATGAGGTTTCATTAATATGCAAATTTCAGCCAGTTGATTGGCTTGCCTGGCATGGTTCCATGCATCTCATCAATCAGAGGCTACTGTGTTTTCTTGTTTAGGAATGCTCCAACTGTGGGCCGTTCTGTAGCTGCAATGAGATCGATAAATTCTCCACTCAGAGGGCAATGAACCAGGTTAGCTCCCATATGCCCAGAATTCCCGCTGCTTGGAAACTCCTCTGGGGCCCATGGAATTGCAGAGAGGCCCTCCTGGAACCTTGGGCTCTGAAGTCAGGTGGATTTAGGTTTTTCATTTCAGCTTTGCCAATTAACTGGCTGTGTAATGAGAGCAAGCCATGTGACCTCCCAGCCCCGTTCTATGAAATAGAGGTGGGAGAAGCTTAGGACTTAGTGTGTAAGTGCTTAATTCTTGCTTTCCTTAAGTCTTGGCCTCCGAGAGGTTCAGTCATGTGCCCAAGGTCATGTGGGTCTCTCGTGGTGGAATCAGGCTAGAAGCCAGGTGTCCTGAGTCCTCATCCAGCATTCTCTCTCCCATACAAGGACTCCTGGCCCTTGATTAATCCATCTGGAGGCTGGTGCGTTGCCAATTCAGTTGTTTTGCTGCTGACTGTGTAGGGAGAGGGGTCAGTTTCAGGAGTCTGGACACGTGGACACCAGCTGGTCCTCTTTGGAGACACAAGGATAGGACAGGCAGGAGACAAAACTAGCTGATGAAGGTGGCTATTGTCCCTGCCTTGAAATACAAGTCCTGGTCAACTGCCTTGTTCTCAACTTTTCCCCAGGCCACTTGGTTGGAGGGACAGTCAAGCCCCCTTTCGTTGTCCTTCTTGTTCTGTCTCAGGGAGATATTGCTGATGGAATGGTGGTTAGGAGCCCATGTGTTGGAGTCAGGCATAATGGAGTCATCATACATGTCTGTGTCCTTGGGAAAGTTGCTTAACCTCTCTGAGGCTCAGCTTCTTTATTGTCAAGTGGGACTAATCATAGCATCTACCACACAGGGTGATTGTCAGGACTGCGTGAGATAGTCCTTGGCACAGGGTCCAGCACAGAGTGCCCACTCAAAGGCAGTCACATATAACTTTAGGATGGCCACCCACCCCTCTCAGCATTTCACACAGGGCAAAATAATCCCACAGCTGGTGGAGTGGAGGATACAGAAGAAAATGTTAGGTTACATGGAATATCAGTCAGGTTTCAACCAGAGGAACAGAACCAGTGGGGGTGTATATGAAGAGATGTATTTATTGTAAGGCTTACCTGAGTGTGGGGCTGGCTGGGCAAATCTGAAATCCATCATGCAGCCATCAGGAGGGCACGCTGTAACTCTCGAGGAGGACCTGGATCTGCAGTCTACGGGTGGAATTTCTTCTTCCTGGAAACTTCAGTTCTCCTCTTAAGGCCTTTGAATCCCACCCAGATTATGTAGGGTAATCTCCTTTACTTAATGTCAACTGATTATAAACATCAGTGACGTCTACAAAATACCTTCAGAGTGACCAGCCTAGTTTGAGACAACTGCCACCCTGTAACCAAGGAAGGGGAGAGTGTCTAGACTAACAGACTCCTCAAACTACTTGGAATGAGAGAGAGAGTCATTTCTCAAAGCAAAGGCTTACCCAAGGCTCCACTAGGATTTAATTCAGAGCAACAAACAAATAAGAAAGAGTTTACTAATAAATGAAGAAAGAAATTACCTCCAGAGCCTTTTTATTTTGTATGTGAATAAAGATAGAGAAAGGTGAAAAACAAAACAACTACCTTTACAACACGCTCTAAATAAGTGTTTGATTGATTAATGTGGTCTATAGCCTAGCCAAGGTGAGGCATACAACTGATCATCACACACGGCAACGAGAAATCAAACGACAGTGAGGGGTGTGAGAATAGTATTTACTTTTTCTCTGGTTGCTAATGGAGAAAGGCTCAGTTGGTGTGACTACATCTTTAACACTTTTCTAAAGCTCAGCAATGGTCCTTTATAATGAACAGTAACCCAATCACAGTGGCTCACAAGAGCCAGTTGTAGCAACCCAGCTGTTGTTCTTGGTCACTCTGATTCCCGCTCCACTCCCTCTCCCTCTCCCTCATGATGCTCCAGCCTCACTGTCTCCTTCTTTTATATATATATATATATATATATATATTATACTTTAAGTTCTAGGGTACATGTGCACAACGTGCAGGTTTGTTACATATGTATACATGTGCCATGTTGGTGTGCTGCACCCATTAACTCGTCATTTACATTAGGTATATCTCCTAATGCTATCCCTCCCCCCTTCCCCCACCCCACAACAGGACCCCGGTGTGTGATGTTCCCCTTCCTGTGTCCAAGTGTTCTCATTGTTCAATTCCCACCTGTGAGTGAGAACATGCAGTGTTTAGTTTTTTGTCCTTGCGATAGTTTGCTGAGAATGATGGTTTCCAGCTTCATCCATGTCCCTACAAAGGACATGAACTCATCCTTTTTTATGGCTGCATAGTATTCCATGGTGTATATGTGCCACATTTTCTTAATCCAGTCTATTATTGTTGGACATTTGGGTTGGTTCCAAGTCTTTGCCCTTGTGAGTAGTGCCACAATAAACATATGTGTGCATGTGTCTTTATAGCAGCATGATTTATATTCCTTTGGGTATATACCCAATAATGGGATGGCTGGGTCAAATGGTATTTCTAGTTCTAGATCCCTGAGGAATTGCCATACTGTATCCTTCTTATTCCTTACAAATGTCAGATCACTCCTGCCTCCTGGCCTTTGCACTGGCCGTTGCCTCCATCTGGTGTACCCTTCCCCTAGACGACCATTCATCCAATTCCCTCCCTTCCTTCCAGTCTTGTGCCACTGCTACCTTCTCAGTGAACTCCATCAACTAGCCCATTTAAATGTCACAGCTCTGATCCTTTTACCCACTTCTACACTTATCACTTCTTACGTTCTATTTAATTATTCACTACCTTTTTAGAATGTAAGTTCTTCTCCCTTCCCCTTGGGAGACAAGCTGCAAATAGAGTGAAGAGACTGTTTACTTTGACCCCAGGTTGAATCCTGTGTCTTCTACCCACTGGCTGGATGCTGTTGTGCAGATTCTTTGGCCTCTGTGGTCATTGGTCTTCTCATCTGTAAAATGGGCTAAGCATGCCCACCCCATGGATTATAATGAGAATCAAATGGGATGATGCACAGAAAGTCCCCATTTCCACTGTTCACCATTCTAAACATTCTCATTGATTTTTAAAGGAAATGGTCACACACACACACACACACACACCCCCCAAATACTCAAGTGCCGTGCTTTTTCTCCTCCTCCGCTCATCTCCTTCCTCCTTCCCTTCAGGGCCCCCTGTCCTTGTTCCTACCAGACCACGCCCTCCTTGCTGTCAGGAATAGTCCTGCTCAGTCCTTTAGGCTTTCGTATGAATCCTAAGCGTGAATCAGGTAAGCCACTGGGGTCTTCATTCCAGGAGCTTTTTGACCTTAGCAAATTTAAAAATGGCTGAGGTCATGGTCATAGTTCTGGTAAAAACCCAAATAACCCAAATAACTCCTAAGAGGAGAAAAATTATAAAGTCAAAACACTTCCATCCATCCCTAATTTCCCTTCCCAAGGGTGCGTCACTATTAACCATTCAGAGTGGATCCTTCTGTCATTTTCCTGTGCACACACAAACACGTGGATTGGATTTATGCAATGGATTTACATCCTACCTATTGTTTTTATAACTTGCTTTTAAAAAAAATCAACAATGCATTTTGATTTTGGGTGTTTCTTCTAATTCTTTTCAGATCAGCACTAACTTATTCTTTTTTTTTTATTATACTGTAAGTTCTAGGGTACATGTGCACAATGTGCAGGTTTGTTACATATGTATACATGTGCCATGTTGGTGTGCTGCACCTGTTAACTCATCATTTACATTAGGTATATCTCCTAATGCTATCCCTCCCCCCTCCCCCCACCCCACGACAGGCCCTGGTGTGTGATGTTCCCCACCCTGTGTCCAAGTGTTCTCATTGTTCAGTTCCCACCTACGAGTGAGAACATGCGGTGTTTGGTTTTCTGTCTTTGTGATAGTTTGCTCAGAATGATTTCTAGCTTCATCCATGTCCCTACAAAGGACATGAACTCATCCTTTTTTATGGCTGCATAGTATTCCATGGTGTATATGTGCCAAATTTTCTTAATCCAGTCTATCATTGACGGACATTTGGATTGGTTCCAAGTCTTTGCTATTGTGAATAGTGCCACAATGAACATACGTGTGCATGTGTCTTTAGAGCAGCATGATTTATAATCCTTTGGGTATATGCCCAGTAATGGGATGGCTGGGTCAAATGATATTTCTAGTTCTAGATCTTTGAGGAATTGCCACACTGTCTTCCACAATGGTTGAACTAGTTTACAGTCCCACCAACAGTGTGAAAGTGTTCCTATTTCTCCACATCCTCTCCAGCACCTGTTGTTTCCTGACTTTTTAATGATTGCCATTCTAACTGGTATAAGGTGGTATCTCACTGTGGTTTTGATTTGCATTTCTCTGATGGCCAGTGATGATGAGCATTTTTTCATGTGTCTGTTGGCTGCATAAATGTCTTCTTTTGAGAATTGTCTATTCATATACTTTGCCCACTTTTTGATGGGGTTGTTTGAGTTTTTTCTTGTAAATTTGTTTAAGTTCTTTGTAGATTCTGTATATTAGCCCTTTGTCAGATGGGTAGATTGTAAATATTTTCTCCCATTCTGTAGGTTGCCTGTTCACTCTGATGGTAGTTTCTTTTACTGTGCAGAAGCAGCACTACCTTATTCTTTCTATATTAGCATAATCTTTCTTGGGAAAGTGACTTCTCAGCCTCAGTGTTCTCATCTGTACAATTGACATGATGACAGAATCTGCCTGAGAGGGTTGGCAGTGACCCTTTAGTATTGATAATGCAACCCCATTGTATGGGTGGGTCCTAGTTTGTTAACTAGTTCCTGATGGGTGGACTTCTAGGTAATCTCCACTGTTTGCTAGTACAGGTCCACAATCCCTTATCCAACCACCTGGAGCCACCTGTATTTTGGGATTCAGTGTTTATAGATTTTAGGTGGGTTTTAAGGTATATATATCATATACTATGTAATAAAACCAGAGATTGGAGGGGGCTCAGAGCAGCATCCTATAATCAAACACATGGATAAATTCTTCAGTGCAACACATAAATATACCCACTAAGTGGCATAAATAAAGACTATAAATAGCCTCACGTTTCTTCAGGGAGGGTTTCGTGCCAAGTAAGTGTTGGCTCCAAACTTAGGATGGAAACACATTCAATTTTCAGAGCTTCTTGGATTTTTAAATTATAGATAAGTACATGACTACATACTTGGGCAAATATTTCTGTAAGATAAATTTCTAGGAAAAAAATGTTGGGTTGAAAAGTCTGTTCATTTTAAAACTTTTTATAATGGTTTATAAATGTCCACCCTAGATCACCCTGTGAGCAGTGTTTGTTCTAAGCTGGGGCTCCTATGGAAGCGGACATTCTTGCGCTCCTGCATCTAGGGGTGGGTGGAGGTTTGTGGGGGTGGGCCAGGGGGCCTTGAAGTCCTTGGAGAGAGAGATGCATGGAGGCTGCACCGGGCGCCTGCCAAGGGAGTTGGGGCTGTGTGAGCAGGAGGAGAAGCCAGGCTTGGAGAGACTGGAGCTAAAGGAAGTGCAATCTGAGCTCCCCAAGGTCTGCAGAGAAGGCACTTGAAGTCTCCAGGGAAGCTGGCCTCAGAGGCTGGAGCTGCTCGAGGCAGCTGGTGTTGGAATGAGCTCTGGCCCTCTTCCCATCCCAGAGCCATGAGCTCCGGGGCAGGACCTGGGCTGTGTTTCCTTCCAAGTTTCTCCATCTGTTTTCATCAGAAGGAAAATGATTGTGTGTGGAAATGGAAGGCCTGCTGCGGCCACAGCTGTTGGAGCGGGTGGCATGAGGGTGGTGTGAGGCGGGAGTTCTGGGTGAACTTGGCAGGTGCTGGGTACCTCCTTTGTCAGGGGCACAATGTAGGGACATGAAATAACCCCAACATGGTCCACGATCTTCTTCCCACGGTGGGGTTGGTACAGGTGCAGTGCCTGGCACTCAGTAGGTGCTTTCTATAGAATAGATGGAAGGAAGAACAGAAAGGGAAAGAAAGAAGCCATGTGACCTGGGCAGGTCAGAACTAGAACAGTCTTTGATGGTCACCCTATGTCCCCATTTTACAGAAAGGGAAGTGGGAGCACAGAGAGGTCAAGGGGCTTGCCCAAGGTCACCCAGCTAGTGGACCTCCTCAAGTCTCTCTAGCCTCTTCTCTCTGGAGAATCCCGGGGTGGGGGATGCCAGAGGGAGAGCTGCTATCATGGCTCATTTCTGTCTGACTCGGCTGGATGTTGAGGCACCCCATTTCTTTGGCCTCAAGCTCCTCATCTGTCAAATGTATGTTCTGTTTCTGACCTGCTGCCTCTGCTTGGGGGCCAGGTTTGGGGTAAAGGGGTTTAAGAATCAAAGCTGATGACATCCCTCCCCTGCTTAAAATCTTTTTGTGGTTCCACACTGCCCTCAAAATAAAGATGTGTGTCCCGGATGTGACTGTGTGGGCTGGCCCTGACTGTACCCCAACCCCTCCGACTCTGTCCTCTTGCTCTCCCACCTGCTGGTGGTTTCTTCCCTATTCAGGCCCCTTCCCTTCCCAGGGCCTTTGCGCAGCCCTCTCCTTCTGGTTTGACTCCTAGATTGTGGAGCTGGAACACCTGCTTCAAATCCCAGTGCTCCCACTTCCCAGCTGGGCAGCCTTGGAAAAGTTACTTCCCCTCTCTGGGCATCAGCTTCCTCCTCTGCAAAATGGGGCTGACAATAATAAAACCTGCCTCTTAGGGTTGTTGTAATGAACAATTACATGTTAATACACATGTGGGCTAAGAGCTCAGTCAGCGACAGTTCTTAGGACTCTGATACGATTTGGCTCTGTGTTCCCACCCAAATCTCATCTCAAATTGTCATCCCTACATGTCGAGGAAGGGTCCTGGTGGGAGGTGATTGGATCATGGGGGTGGTTCCCCCATGCTGTTCCCATGATAGTGAGGGAGTTCTCACGAGATCTGATGGTTTAAAAGTGTGCGGCTTCCTTTGCCTTCTCCTCCTACTGCCATGTAAGACCTGCTTTGCTTCCCCTTTGCCTTCTGCCGTGATTGTTAAGTTTCCTGAGGCCTCCCCAGCCATGTTGAACTGTTAGTCAATTAAACCTCTTCCTTTATAAATTACCCTGTGTCAGGTATTCTTTATAGCCATGTGAAAACAGACTAATACAGACTCCTTCTTGCAGCCCTGGGTCCTCTCCTTTGCTGCTGTGCCACGATTATTATTTCCTCTGAAGTGTGACCATTTGACTATACCTGTCTCCCTGCCAGACTGTCATCTCTGGGAGGGTAGAGCCAAGTCTGTCTCATCCACAGCTGTCTCCCAGCACCCAACACACCCACTTACACAGTAAGTGGAAGCTCCAGAAATACCTAATGCATCTTGGTGTACCCTGACATGACTCCATTGTTGTGACCATGGAACTCTGACTTCTCCAGGTTACATGTGTCCAGTAAGCCCCAGCTGCACTTCTCCCCCTCCCCCGCCGCTCTCTTTTTAGAAAGACAGTTATCTCTGCAGAGACTGCTCTGTGCCTGCGTCCCGGGACATCTGGCCATGGCCTCAGTCTGCTGGGGTCAGTCCATTTAGTATGGTCACTGCTAGTCTAATTAGATCCATCAAGATGAAAACAGAGAAATGGCGCATCCTGCATGCTCCCAATTAACTCAGGAGTACCTCCAGGCACTGCTATTGACTCTGGGTCCCCTTCATCTGGGTTGGCTGCCTTTGGGAGCTAAGAAATGCAATTATTTCTTGGCCAGTGGTTGGAGGGAGTTGGGTGACCCAGGTCAGCCTGTCCTCTCTGTCTACTCCAGACAGAGCCATAGGGTAGTGATGGGGTACAAGAAAATGGACATATGGTCAGAGTGCCCAATACTGGCCTTCCCATTTCTTGTGCTTTAGTTTATAAAAACAGTGATGGCCATGAGTTTAATTATTTTCCCCCCAACTGGCTGTTGAAGAAGAGATCCTCCAAAACATTCTCAAACCCTGCAAGCCTTTGCCACTTTCAGTTCATCATCTTCTACTCATCATTCTGTTTCCACTATTACCCCCCAGCAACCTGTGCTCTACCCTGCAGCCAGGCTGATCTTCCCAAAGGGCAATCTGTCTCTCTTCTGTTTATAGCCCTCTATGGCTCCCTATTGCCGTGGATAAATCCCAGACCTCTGATAAAGATCTACAAGGCCCTTTGTGATCTGGCCCCTCCTGACCTTTCCAACCTTAGTTCTTGCCCTCTCTCCATCTCTGCCTCAGTGCCTTTCACCTTATGATTTAGGCAAAAGGGATGTCTTTAACTTTCTTGACTAAGCTTTGTCACTATTGGAGCCTCCAGGCTTTTGCACATGCTGTTCCCTTTGCCAGGAACACCATCTCCCTCTTTGCTTGGTTCAAGTCAATTTATTTTTGAGAATCTTTCCCGATGTCCCCATGAAGACCCTCACTGGATCACACATCATTTGTCAAATGCTCTGGCCTTTCTCCTAGATGTTTAACTTTGCAAGGTCAGGAACTGATGCTTATTTACTCATTATATCCTCAGTTCCTGGCACACAGTAGGTGCTCAATAAATGTTTGTAACATAATCTAAAAAATGAGTGTTTCAGAATGTATGATACCAGTGGTTCCTGATAATACTGATGATGATGATGATAATAATAATAACAATAATAAAAGTGGAAAGCTAAGGTGGATGTTACCATTCTCATTTTATAGTTGAGGAAATGGAGGCTCACAAAAATGGAATGCACCAGTGCAAGGACCTTCTAGTTTTGGAAACTCACAGAACCAGCCCCACCTCCTCTCCTCTGTGCATATCAAACTGGGAGGCCATGCAACCTGGTGGTGGAGGTCATCAGCCCCTTCTTGGTGCAGGCACATTGCAGCTTAGGAAGCTTCTCCACTTATAGCTGCCCTTTCCCAACTCATTGTCCCAGTCTGAGCCCCGAGTCTCACGTGGACTATTGTAGCAGCCTCCTACAAAGATTTCTATAATAGGTCTCCCTGCTGGAGTCTGCCCTCTGTGCACTGCGGGGAGTCAGAAACCCCAGCTGCTCTCATGTTCCTAATCTTAACAGCCCTCAATGGCTGCTTTTTGCCAGTGAAATGAAGTCCCAGGCTCCTTCGGGCTGACATCGAACACCCTGCACAATTGGCCCCCAGCCCCCATGAACCTTCCCGACCTCTTGTCCAGCTTCCATTTTTACTCTTGTATTTGCCCCACCCTCCAGCCTAACCAATCCAATCCTTGTTTGTACCATCCCCCACCAACTTCCCAGCCCCATGTTTTTTCTTGTGCTGGTCGTTTTGCCTAGAATGCTTTTCTTTCTTATTTCATTGTGGGAAATGCCTCTTCACTCTTCAGGGCCCAGCCCAGACACCCTCCTCCTCCAGGAAGCCTGCCTTGATTTTCCCCAGCTAGAAGTGATCTTTCAATTCACAGAGCACTTTCTCTGGTCTTTTTGAGCATATGCCTCCCCAAACTTCTGTTTGAGCTCTGTGTGCCCTTGCTTGTTACCCCAAAACCCTACCACAAAGGAGGCCCCCAGAAGGTGTGTCCAGGCAGCTAGCAGAAAGTGGGCATTGTAAAATGGATATTTGCCTGATTAATTCATTCATTAATGAAGGATGAATGAGTGAATGAAAGACCATGAAGTTGCAAAAGTTCAGGCTTTAAAGCCATACAGACCTGGGTTTGAATCTACTTCTGGCACTCACCAGCTGTGTGGCTTTGGACAAGTCTCTTTACCCCTCTGAGCCTCAATCTTCTGGGTAACTTTTCAGGGCTATTCAGAGGATTGGGCATAATACAATAGAGTGACCAGCACATAGTAGGTGCTCAACAGATTGATGTGTTTTTTTGAATGAATGGATGAATATGGAGGGTGTTTGAAAGATCATGGATTTTGACACCAGCTGGATCTGGTTTGAACCTACCTCAAACCAGGTATTTTGATTGTATTTTGTGATTGTGATGACTTTAGGAATGATTTTTTACCTGTATGACCCTCAGTTTCCTCCTTGGTAAAATGAGAGTAACTAACAGTCCTTAGAGGCAGGGTTATGATAGGGATAGAGATACTTCATTTACAGTGTCAAGCTCATAAAAATGAGTAATACTGCCATGATGATGATGGTGGTGGTGATGATGAGGATGATGGTGATGATGGTGGTCATTGTGGTGATTATGATGGTGATGATAGTGGTAGTAATGGTGATAATGGTGGTGATGATAATGATGATGGTTGTGATAATGGTGATGGTGATGATAGTGATGATGATGATGACTGTAATAGTGGGGATAGTGGTGATGATGGTGGTGATAGTCGTAATGATAATAATGATGGGGATGATAATAATGGTGATGGTGATGATGGTGGTAGTGATAGTGATTGTGGTGGTAATGGTGATAATGGTGGTGGTGATAATGATGATGGTTGTGATAATGGTGGTGGTGATAATAGTGATGCTGATGTTGATGGTGATGGTGGGGATAGTGCTGATGATGGTGGTGATGGCTGAAATGATAATGATGATGGGGATGATAATAATGGTGATAGTGATGATCATGATAGTGTTGGTAGTGGTGATAATGGTGATGATGATGGTGGTGGTAGTGATCATGATAATGATTGTGATGATGGTGGTGGTGATGATGGTGGTGGAAGAGGAGGATTAGGGAGGGCTTGACCAGTCTTGGCACAAATTTCCATGCCCCAGCCAGCATTCTTCTGGGCTGCCCTCCAAGCTGGTGACTAGTGTCCCTTAGTTCCCCTGGGGTTTCACTGTAATGTCCTCCTACTAGCTAGCAGCTATCCTTCCATCATCTGCTCTTCTTCCTCTCTCCCCATCAGGTACTTTAATGAGGGGCCAGCACCATCCATAGCCAGGCTGGGCCCCATGTAGGGTGATGACTGAAAATGGAGCCAGGGCAGGTCTAGTGAGAGCTGCCAGTGCAGGCTCAGTGATCAAGGTAGATCATGGAGTCAGGTGAGCCTAGGGGTCTCAGTCCTGAGCCCTGCAGGGGTCTCAGTTGTGTAACAGCATCAGCACCACATGGGCATCACTTACAACAGTTATTCCTTCGTGTGATCTTGCCTAGGGGGAGTGAAGAGGGGCTTTTCTTCTGTAGAGGCTGAATCTGCCTCCCTGAAGCTCCTCCAGGTTAATGCTGGCTCTGACTTCTGGACCCACACAGAATATGGGTGTTGTCTATTCCCTAGGATTCTAAACCTCATAAAACAACAACAGCAACTGAAATGATATCTTAGCTTGGGTTCCCCTGGAAGCAAAGCTGGAGACAAGGATTTGTTAATATGGGAAATGAGTTTATATATGTATATGTGTATATATATATAAGTTTATATGGGAAATGAGGGAAACAGAAGGGGAACAGGGAAGTGAGACAAGGAAGGGAAGAAGCCTAAAATGCATCCATTATTAAACCAGTCATCACTGTGGGTGGCTGGAGCCCAATCCCACTGGGAGGCTCTGGGAAACTGTGTGGAAAACATGCCTCAGAGTTATCTTACCTGAGGAGTTGGGGAGCTTTGGTATTTGATCATTGAGGATGTTGCTAGGAGGCACCGATGCCCCAGCACTTCAGGCCAACCTTGGACCTGAGAAAGCCCTCAGGTGCTGACAACAGAATTGGGCCAATGTGCCCTGAAGTGGTGAGGGCAAGGGGATATGGGTGGGCTCCAGAGGGTCTGTAACTCATGTATTGACTCATGGATTTTTCAGTTAAGTCCTAATGATCCCTGAGAAGGTTCATTTTGTGTGTCAATTTGGCTGGACTAAAAGATGCTGATAATCTGGTTAAACATTATTTCTGGGTGTGCCTGTGAGGATGTTTCTGGAAGAGATTAGTGTTTAAATAGGTGAACTGAATAAAGCACATTGCCCTTCCGGAGGTGGGTGGGCATAAGCCAACCCACTGAGGGCCTGACTAGAACACAAAAGCCAAGAAAGGTTGAATTTGCTCTCTGCCTGAGTGCTTGAGCTGGGACATCAGTTTCTTCCTGCCCTCAGACTGAGACTTACACCATTGGTGTTTCTGGTTTTCAGGGCTTTGGACTTGGGCTGAAGTACATTGCCAAATTTTCTGGGTTTCCAACTTGCAGATGGCAGATTGTAGGCCTGCTAAGCCTCCCTAATCATGTGAACCAATTTCTCTCTCTCTCTCTCTCTCCCTCTGTCTCTCTCTCTCTCCCTTTCTCTCCACCATTGGTTCTGCTTCTCTGGAGATCCCTAATATAATCCCTTGTATTGGTCCATTCTTGCATTGCTATGAATAAATACATAAGACCGGGTAATTTATAAAGAAAAAAGGTTTAATTGGCTCACAATTCCGTAGGATGTACAGGAAGCATGGCAGCATCTGCTTCTGGAGAGGCCTCAGGGGGCTTCCAATCATGGCAGAAGGCAGAGTAGGAGCAGACATCTTATGTGGTGGGAGCGGGAGGAAGAGCAAGTGGGGGGAGGTAATACGTACTTTTCAGCAACCAGATTTCCTGAGAACTCTATCTCGAGGACAGCACTAAACCATTCATGAGAACTCTACCCCCATGATCCAACCACCTCCCACCAGGCCCCACCTCCAACACTGGGAATTATAATTTGACATGAGATTTGGGTGGGAACACAGACCCAAACCATATCATGCCTATTTTACAGATAAGGAAACTGAGGCTTGAAGAGGTAATGTGACCTGCCCCTGCCCAAGCTCACATACCTTGTCAGTGGCATCGCTTCTCTCCCCAATAACTCCCTTATGAGATGATTTCATCCAGGTCATCTGTGAGTAATCATGACAGAGAAGCTGGGGGACTGTGTGGGAGGCAGGGGTGGGGCAGGGCTGCTTCTGGGAAATTTCAAATCTATTCCCCCAAGAGTATTTCCACTCTCTGATTGGGATGTGATGGGTCACAAGAGAGTGGATCCAGGCCCCTTGCTTGGGCCCCAGTGAGTTTCCCTGCACCCGAAAAATGCTCCTGCCGTTAAATAATTCACATCTGCAGATGGTCTTCATTTAGCACCATCCATCAGCCAGTTATTTTCAAATAAGCAAAAACCTCAGGCATAAATTATTCCTGCAGGGTCAACGGGTCTGACAGAGCACATCTGCTACCACCAGCCGAGTGTCATGTGACCATGGGACTGCAGCCTGGGGCCTGCATTTCCAGACGTGTCAACCCCACATCACACCGAAGAGTAAGAAGGATGATAATTTTTTCAGAATTTGGGGTCATGAGTTTTAACTCCAGATCTGTTTGTCGTTTATTTCAGCCTATCCAAGCCTTTATATCTTATCTGGAAAACAGGACAATCAGTTTCTCCTCACAGCACAGTGAAATTTAAATAAGATAAATGAAGACTTCTGTTATAATGCCTGGTAAATAGTAAGTGCTCAGTAAATAGTCCTTTTTCCTTCCTTTCTCTTTCTTTTCTTTCCTGTTTACATTCTTCTGTTCTACCTCTTGTTTGCTCTCCCTCCCTTCCTTTTCTTTTCCTTCCTTCAATGTCAAGAATCATTCATGCCTCCTGTAGCAAATGCTGTTGGTGTCCCACCTGCAGCCCTCCAGCATTCATGGACCCTGAACATGCTCACAGACTTCTGTGGCCAGCACCTGAGTCTTCCTGTCTGAAGGCATTCTTCAGCCATATGCATACTCAGTCTGCAATGGGACTGGCCAGAAATGCTGGGGAGACACAGCCCTTCAAACCAAGCAAGGACGGTTAGTTTGTGGATAAATACCCTAGTTCCCTCACCTTCCAAGTGAGACCACTCTGAGCATATTCTACACTGTCTCCCAGAAGTACCCAGTGGGACTGAGCCCCAGTCACCTCTGCCCTGCTCATCAATGCCCTATCTATTGGCTTCTATCCTTCCCTATCTTATTTCCCCACTTTCCTACCAGTGCTTTTTAGGGTCACTTCCCAGATAAATAACTGTGCCCAAATCTGTCTCAGGGTCTGCTTCTTGGAGAACCTAAACTAAATCAGATGCCAAGAGGCTGTATGTGATGAGGCCACTGAAGACTTCAATTCAAACAAGTTGCATTCCCAGATTTTCGGTCTCAAGGACCTGTCCTCGGGGCCCCACCCACAAAGTTCTGGCCCTCATAGTCTGTGGTCTTGAAGGCTATTTAAGATGAATATAGACTATGCAAGACTCCTCTAGTCATTCCACCAGGGAGTAGCCAGAGTGATCTTTCTAAAACAAAAAACAAAACAAAACAAAACAAAACACAAAAACAAAAACAAAAAATAAAGCCTGACTGTGCCCTTCCCAGAGCCCTCAATTCCAAAGTCACCTACGTGGCTTACAAGGCTTTTCATAATTAGGCCTGAGGCCTGCTCCTGTCTCATCTCTCATCCTACCTCCACATGCTCCTTTCCCTTCAGCCAGGATGTTCTATTTCCATGAAACACTCTATGCTGTCTGAATCCTCCTAGCCCTTGTTCACACTCTTCCCTCTTCATGGAGTTCTCTTCTCCCCTACTTTGTTTGCCTACTAAATTAGTCATCAAGACGCAACTCATGTTACCTCCACTATGAAGCCTTTTTCTCCTTTTGTTCCTCCTCTGTGCTCGAGTAATCTTAATGGTGGCTCCTACTCCTGTGCCTTTTCAATACTGAGGCCAGTGGGAAGGAGAATTTGACCCTGTCCCAGAAGTCTCTGTAAAACCTCTTGCTATCTCATTGACAGATGGAGCCATATGTCCCCCACCCCTGACCAACACCCTGACCAGAGGAATGCAGGACTCAGATTGGCCAGGTCTGTTCATTGGGATTCCTTTAGCCATGCATGATCTTAACACCTCACGGATTAACAGTGAGGAGGGAGGAGTTCAGGATGGCTGACGCTTTGCCACAAATGTTCCCTCCATGGCTTCAGTGACTTTCTTTTCTAATTCAAGAAACTCACTTTAAAAGATGAATTTTATTGATTTAAAATTTTTGAGTTAAGCAGTCATATCTAGGCAAATTTTGTCTACTTATGTGCAGATAATCTAGCTGTTTATTACTCAACAAGACTCAAGGCCTGACTAAATCTCCATGGCTCTTGGCTTCACCTATTGAACTCTTGGTTTTATCACCCAGTCATCATTTCTTCTCCATAAAGGTAGCCTGCATGAAGATGGGCTGTATTTTTAGCTTACTTTTTTCTGTAGATGTGGTGGGGGTGGGTCTAAAGTCCTCTTTTTAATTTGTGCAGCTTATGCTTCTTTCAATACAAGTGGGCTGTGTTTCTGCCAATACATTTCTCTTAAAAATTTTGTGGGTCTTTTGTGAATCTTATTGGGGGCTCATTCCATTAGAAAAAAAAGCCACACTCATGAATCTCATTGGCATAAACTTTTCTCTACCTCAAACTTCTGCTGAGAATCCCAAGGCAGTGGAGGCATAATACCCTTGCTTATTAAAAGTTGCATGGTTTGACTGATTGGTTATCTTAGGTCTTTATGAGGCATTAATAATGAATTTTACAGTCACACCCTCAACTTTATATTGTATTTCCTGACAGTGTCCTGGATTCAACCTTTGCCCAGATATCTTTCTTAATTTTGGCATCACTTGCCATCTAGAGACACAAGCAATTTTCAAAACCAGCAAGCCCTGGCTTCTTTTTGTTTATCAGTCATTCCTTCAGGTTGTCTCTTGCCTCTTGCATTTTACTATAAACAGCAAGAAGAACCAGGTGTCATCTTTAATATTTTGCCAGGAAATCCCCTTGTTTAGATAACTGAATAGACTATACATATTATTTAATTTCCATTTTACTACAGGTGACAGTATGGCTAAACTCTGCCACTACATAACAAGCATCCCCTTTCCTCTGGTTCATTATTTATTCACATATGCACTCACTCATAAGATTATGAACTCAATCAATATTTATAGAAGGAACACATGTCCTTACAATCATAACACAATCTCAGGACCTGCTGTCATGAAGCTTACCTTCTATCAGAATCTTATGTAGTTCCCTTCTCCTCCAGAACCCTATGAAATTATTGGTATTATTATTTCGATTTTACAAATGAGGGAGCTTGAGCTCAGAAAGGTAAAATCAATTTCCTAGGGCCTCCCAGATAGTAAGTAGAGGATCTGGTGTCTGAACTCAGTTCTGTTTGATTCTAGAATTCTTATGTGTAAGTGCTACTATTATAATTCTCTTTCCTGGAATTCAATTTCCACTGTCCTTGTCAAGGTCTGAAGTGGTGTCCATCTCTTCATTGAAATTTTCTGGGAATCAAGCTGTTGACTTTCCCCTACAGATACATTTTTTTTAAGGTAGAGATGAATAAAGATGTACATTTAGAAGCAGCCAGGTGCCTAGAATTGCTTTTTAATGTGGGGGCTTTGGGAACTTCTCACAAGACCTCACTGCCCCCTGATGCTCCATTCAATAAACAGGAATGACAGAGGTGCTCTGAGCTTCCCCTTGGGAAGGTAGGACCAGGACAGGTTTGCAAAGTGTTGAAGTCATTGACTTTTGAAGGACGCTTGGGGGAAGAGAGAAGACACAATGATTCAGGCAGGAAAACTAAATTATATGGTCATAAATCCCCAGGAAATTGCTATTTTCTCTCTTTTGCCCCACATCATGCCACCTTACTAAGTCACAAGATGCTCTCAAAAGCTTGATAACACCATGGGATCTAGGGCAAGACATGTGTTTAAGGAAGGGCAGACCCTGTTCCCTGGATGCTGCAAAGTGTGCTGCAACTTCTTGATCTTGACCTCTGGTTAGAAATAGGGGGAGCTTTCATAAGCTGTAGAAAAACTTAGTTTTCTGAGCAGCCTGTAAGACACTGATCTCACCTTTAGCTGAAAGTGTGGGCTTGGTCTGCAGCCGTGGTGGCTTCTTACAGTGAAGGAGGCCTAAGGCTTTTGCTGTGGGTCTTGAAGACCCAGGAGGGGAGGCTTCCACTAGCACCTGAAGTGTTCCCCAGGGATTTAGTTTAAAATCCTTCTCCTGCTCTTCTCCTGCCTCATCTCTGCTGTTCTTCCCTCTCTCACTCTACAGGAGGCCACACTGACCTCCTTGTTTTTCCTCAAACATAATCAACTCTCTCCAACATCAGAGCTTTGGAACTTTTTGTCTCTTCTGCCTGAAATGAATGTCCCCACATTTTCCTACAAGTAGTCCCTTCTCAACCTTCAGGTGTCAGTTCAATTGTCACCTACTCAGGGAGGCCCTTCTCAACCACCTTATTTAAAGTGACATGTGTTCTCATATTATCTTTTTAATCATATCCTCCTGTTGATCTTTTCTACAGCACTTACTGCAGTCTGTAATTCTTTTAAAAACTTGTTTACCTTTTTTTTAAACCTGTTTACTGCTGCTCACCAGAAGAGATAAATATAGAGTTTTAGGTTCCTGGATTCTTTAAGTCTAGAAGGACAGACTCAGGACTGGGGCAATGAGGGTGATCCCAGCTGTGCACTGCAGGGAGAGCTGTTTACTTAGATTGCTGGTTCTCAGGTGGAGGTGATTTTGTTCCCACTCACTGGGGATGTCTGGCGATGTCTGGGAGATGATTTTGATTGTCATGACTTGAGGGTGGTGTGGGGTGGGTGCTTATAAACATTCTGCAATACATGGGAAAAATTCCAGAGTTATCTGGCCCCAAATGCCAATAGTGCTGTGATTGAGGACCCTTGACTTAAACTATAATGTCAACGTCACTCATACACACATCTGCCTTCACACAGATTCAGGCATTTTTCTTGGGATGCCCAGAGGCTTGGAGCTGTCTGTGGTGCTGAAGCAGACCACACTCCAAGCCCCTGACTTTCTTAATCCCGTTCAGATCCCTGTTTCTGACCCCACTCAAGACTGTTGTATATAGAATCATACAATATTGAAGCTGGAGGGTTCTTAGAAGTCAGCTAATCTAATTCCTCTCTTTTGTACAAAGAGGACACCGAGGCCCAGAGCCCAGATTTGCCAACGGTCACATTGTACCTGCAAGTGCAACTGTCTCCCTCCCCCCGCGAACAATGTTCCTCCCAGGACATCTTGGCCAATGACATTTTGCCATCTGAGGGTTGTTAATGGAGTTGTCCCCCAGTTGAGGCAGCTTGTCTCTTAATCACATCGGAAGTAGAAAGAAAATGACTTTGAAGATTTGTTCCGTGGTGCTCAGGGTGGCTGGGGCAGGCAGGCCCTCTCTGGGTGCCTGGGGTGAGACAGCTTGTCTGGCAGGGAGCTAATTGATTCTTTAGGTTAGTGCTGTTTTGTGTGCACAGACAAATCTGGGCATCCATTCTGCCTAATGTGTCACTGAGCATTTCCTCTGAGCTCCCCAGCCCCAGTCTTTTGCTGCTGACTTCATGGAACTACGTTTTGTGAAACTTCTCTCTCTTCTCTACCCATCAGAAAAACAAATTCAAGGAGGCTATTCTGTTGGTGGTGGTCTTCATTGAAAACCTTATTTTCATGCACCTCAAGAGACTGTCACCTACAGCTGCCCTCTGTCGAGAGCCTCTTACGTATCAGGTACTTTTTCTATTACCTCTGATCTTAACAACTCTGTGAAGTAGACATCATTTGCTGCATTTTAAGAGAGAAAAACTGGATCTCAGAGAGGCCAAGTAGCTTTCCCAAGGTCACACAGCAAAGAAATGGCAGAGCTTTGATTTGAACTCCATCCCACCTGTCTTTCCTATAGATTTATTATTCTCCAAGTGTGGTCCCCAAACCAGTGGCATCAACATTGTTTGGGAATTTGCTAGAAATATACATTTTCAGGTCCTCCTTATTCTTGGGTTTGGTTTTGGACAAACCCAAGATTTCTAACATTATCTTATGGAATTATAATCCCCATTTTGCAGATAAGAAAACTAAGCAGAAGTCAGCTTGTCCAAGGTCCTGCAGGGAGTAAGTGGCAGGGCTGAGGGCAAACCCTGATCTCTTGCTCCCTCTCATCCAATTCTGCTCATGATTCTTGTGTGCCTGATTCTTTCATCTTATTTCTCAGACAGGGAGGGTGATAAAAAGGACCCTGTTCTACTCACACAACTGGGGAGTGGTAGAGGCAGGATTTGGATCCAGGTCTTTCAGAATCAAAGCCTGTGTGCTGGGGTCTGGTCTATCAAACTTGGGACTTGGTCTCAAAAACTCCATAAAGGAGCCAAGGTGGATCTTAGAAAAGAGCAAAATCTTCAGTGTAAATGTGTATGGCCTTAGGCAAGCCATTTCACTTTTCTCTGCCTCAGTTTACCCATCCTACAGTTACACAATGCTTATCAATCACGTGTATTTGTTGTTATACTTGAATGCAACAATGACCCTGAAAGATATTTTAACAATGACAACAGCATTGGCTATGTTTTATTGAGCATCTACTGTGTACCAGGCATGATGTCTGGAGATTTGTAAATTCTAACTCCTCAATTCTCACCCCATGACATAGGTGCTTTTGTTCAGTTGGGTGAGCTCTTGGCTTCACTTGCTTCATCTGTACAATAGGAATGATGTCATAACTACCACACAGTGTCACTTAAGTATTACATGAGTTAATGTATATAAGTTATTTAAATGGAAGCTGGCACATAGTAAGCACTAGGTAAGTATCATGTCACCATGCACATCTTGGAACAGGGAAACTGAGGCTCAGAGAAGCAAAAGACTTGCTCAAGACCATATAAACAAGGAGGAGCTGACCCCAGGGTCTTACACCTATGTTTTGTGACTTTTATATCTGCTTTTTCTCCTCCCTGTTCAGAGCATCGACTGATTTGGGTGTCCATTCTCCCTTTTTCTGCCTCAAACATCAGGATGGGATACCCCAGCCTTTATAAATTTAGTCTGTCCCCTCTTGGCCTATGGATGTGCCACACCTACTCTCTGAGCCTCAAGGGCCATGGAAATAAACTGCAGAGCCTGATAAATTAATAAAAAATTAGCTTCGTGATCCTGATGTCCGGAGGCTGTGGTGGGTGTTGAATTATTCAGGCTGTTTGGGTGTGAGCTGTTAGTTTTCTGCTGCTCTCATCTTGATGGCCGCCCTGACAGATTGATAGATGAGCCAGTAAAACACTTGGAGGCCAGAAAGAAAATTCTTAATCATAACTCACTGGTGGGGGCAAGTGTTTTCTCTACACTGGCAGCTCCAGAGGCTTGGCCTAGCCCCAGCTCTCTGTTGCCTTCTGCCCTAATGAGGCTGGAGGTACCAACTGTAGAGTCATCCTTGGCAACCGGTTGAGGGCTTGTAGCAGGACTTTTAAGAATAGAGCTGTTCATTCATTTGACTTCATGTTTTTGCTTTTAAAAAATTAAGGTGCAATTTACATAAAAGGCATAACATTTTAAATTTACTGCTTGGTGAATTTTTACATTTGGGAATGTGGTGTAACTACCACTCAGATAAAGATCCAAAACATTCCTATCCCTCTAGAAGGCATCCTTATAAGGTAGCCTTATGTCACTTTTTAGCCATTACCATCTTTACTCCTAGACAACACCTATCCTGACCTCTATCATCTTAGATTAGTTTTTTCTACTATGGAGTTTTATTTTATTTTATTTATTATTTTTTTGAGATAGAGTCTCACTCTGTCACCGAGGCTGGAGTGCAGTGGTGGGATCTCGGCTCACTGCAACCTCTGCCTCCTGGGTTCAAGTGATTCTTCTGCCTCAGCCTCCCAAGTAGCTGGGACTACAGGCATGTGCCACCATGCCCTGCTAATTTTTTGGTAGAGACGGGGTTTCACCATGTTGGCCAGGCTGGTCTTGAACTCCTGATCTCAGGTGATCCACTAGCCTTGGCCTCCCAAATCGCTGGGATTACAGGCGTGAGCCACCGTGCCTGGCCTGGAGTTTTATTTTTTAATTTTTATTTATATTTTTTAGAGATAAGATCTTACTCTGTCACCCAGGCTGTAATGTCCAGATTGCTCTTGTGCAATCATATCTTACTGTAACCTCAAATTCCTGGGCCCAAGTGATCCTCCCACCTCAGCTTCCCTAATAGCTAGCATACCACCACACCCAGCTAATTTTGTTTGTTTTTTTTTTTTTTTTGTAGAGTTGAGGTTTCACTATGTTGCCCAGGCTGCTCTTGAACTCCTGGCCTCAAGTGATCCTCCTGCCTCAGCCTTCCAAAGTGTTAGACTTACAGGCAGGAAACACCAAGCCTGGCCTTTGAAATTTTATGTAAATGGAATCATAGTTTGTCTTTGGCTTCTTTCACTGGCATTTTTTTTTTAGATTCATCCATGTTGTTGCATGTATCACTAATTTTTCATTTTTATTGTTGACTAGCATTCTGTTATAGGAATAGACCACAATTTCTTTAAAAAAAAGTTTCCACTTTTATTTTAGATTTAGGGAGTTCATGTGCAGGTTTATTACCTAGGTATATTGTGTGATGCTGAGGTTTGGATACAGTCGATCCTGTCACCCAGATACTAAGCATAGTACCCAATAGTTTGTTTCTCATCCCTTGCTCCCTTCCCTCACTCCCACCACTGGTAGTCCCCAGTGTCTATTGTTGTCATCTTTACACCCATGAGTACCCATCGTTTAGCTCCTACTTGAGTGATAATGTGGTTTTCTGTTCCTTCATTAATTTGCTTAATATAGTGGCCTCCAGCTGCATCCATGTTGCTGCAAAGAACATGATTTTGTTCTCTTTAATGGCTGTGTAGTATTCCATAGAGTATATGCACCACATTTTCCTTATTCAACCCACTGTGTTTGGGCACCTAGGTTAATTCCATGTCTTTCCTGTTGTGGATAGTGCTGCAATAAACATAGGCATGCATGTGTCTTCTTGGTAGAATGATTTATTTTCCTCTGGGTATATACCCAGTAATAGGATTGTTGGGTCGAATGGTAGTTCTAAGCTCTTTGAGAAATCTCCAAACTGCTTTCCACAGTGGCTGAACTAATTTACATTCCCACCAACAGTGTGTAAGCATTCTCTTTTCTCTGTAGTCTTGCCAGCACCTGTTGTTTCTTGATTTTTTAATAACAGCCATTCTGGCTGGTGTGAGAAGGTATCTCATTGTGGTCTTGATTTGTATTTCTCTGATGATTAGTGATGTTGGGCATTTTTTTCATATGCTTGTTGGCCACTTGCATATCTTCTTTTGAGAAGTGTCTGTTCATGTCTTTTGCCCATTTTAAAAATGGGGTTCTTTGTTTTTTGCTTGTTGATTTGTTTAAGTTTCTTATAGATTCTGGATACCAGGCCTTTGTTGGATGCATAGTTTGTAAATATTTTCTCCCATTCTGTAGGTTTTAGTTTCTTTTTCTGTGCAGAAGCTTTTTAGTTTAATTAAACTATCCCACTTATCATTTTTTGTTTTTGTTGGAATTGCTTTTGAGATCTTAGTCATAAATTCTTTGCCAAGGTTAATGTCCAAAAGCATGCTTTCTTGGTTTTCTTTTAGGGTTCTTGTAGTTTGAAGGTGACATTTAAATCTTTAATCCATCTTGAGTTAATTTTTCTACAGGGTGAAAGATAGGGGTCCAGTTTTATTCTCCTGTGTATGTCAAGCCAGCTGTCCCAGCACCATTTTCCCCATTGTTATTTTTGTTGATTTATAGAAGATTAGATGACTACAGATGTGTGGCTTTGTTTCTGGGTTCTCTATTCAGTTCCTTCGGTCTATCTGTCTGTTTTTGTACCAATACCTTGTGGTTTTGGTTACTGTATAACTTACAGTATAATTTGAAGTTGAGTAATGTGATGCCTCCAGCTTTGTTCTTTTTGTTTAGGATTGCTTTGGCTATTTGGGTTCTTTTTATTCAGTTCCATATGAACTTTAGAATAGCTTTTTTTTCTAGTTCTGTAAAAAATAACATTGGTAACTTGATAGGAATAGCATTGAATTTTTAGGTTGCTTTGGGCAGTATGGCCATTTTAACTATATTGATTATTCTAATCCATGAGTATGGAATGATTTTCCATTTGTTTGTATCATCTCTGATTTCTTTCAGCAGTGTTTTGTAGTTTTCCTTGTAGAGATCTTTCACCTCCTTGGTTAGGTATACTCCTAGATATTTTTTTTGTGTGTCTATTGTAAATGGCATTGCATTCTTGATTTGGCTCTCAGCTTGAAGGTTATAGATGTATAGAAATGCTACTTATTTTTGTAAATTGATTTTGCATCCTGAAATTTTGCTGAAGTTGCTTATCAGTTCTAGGAGCCTTTTGGCAGATTCTTTGGGCTTTTCTATGTATAGAGTCATGTTATCCACAAAGAGAGATAGTTTGACTTCTTTTCCTATTTGGATGCCTTTCATTTCTTTCTCTTGCCTGATTGCTTGGTCAAGGACTTCCAGTACTTTGTTGAATAGGAGTGGTGAGAGTGGGTATCCTTGTCTTGTTCAAGTTAACTTTTCTTTGTCTATGATGAGTAAAGCTGTTATGAACATTTGTGTACAAGTATTCGTGGTAATATGTGTTTTTATTTGTCTTGGGTAAACACTCAGGAGGGAGATAGTTGCATCTTAGAGTCAGTGCTTATTTGTTTTATAAGAAACAGCTAGATATTTTCCCAAAATGATTGCCACATATTACATTGCCACCAAGGATGTGTGAGTTTCACTTGTCCCCCATCTTTGTCAACACTTGGTATTATCAGTCCTTTTAATTTTAGCCATTTTAAAGGTATGAAGTGTTATCTCATTGTGGTTTGTTATGAATATGACCAATGCTGTTGAGCATTTTTTCATGTACTTACTGGCCAGTCTGGGGGTGTGAAGGAGTTAACACCCCAGGGACCATCCTCAGTCAGGCGAATGGAATTTAGTAGACAAACAATGCAGCTTCCTCTTCCTCCAGGGGGTTGATTCTGGGATGTGTTTCACAATGATTCTTAGAAGGGCCCCTGTGGGATTTAGTCCCAGTTGCCCACAGTAGTAACCCATCCTTAACGCATCCTTTATCAGCTGTTATCCTTTCCCTATCTCACTTCCCCTCCCCTTTATTTGTGCCTCCCAGGATTACCTTCCAAATAAATTCAATGCACCCTTGTCTGTTTCAGGATCTGCTTTGAGGGTAGCCCGATCTAAGAAGGAGACACTCCAGGGATTGGCAAGAGCATGAAGCTCCTACATCCCTTAGGGCTAGAAGAATGCAAGGAGGGGTGGTGTTACTGGTGTCTTGGGGCTAGTGTCACCTGGCAGAAGTTGGAATTAGAGTGGGCTTATCCAGGGGAAATTCATGGCAAAAAGGAATCCAACACTGTCAGACACACTGCCTGTTATGGTTTAAACATTTTTCTTCTCTCAAACTTGTGTTGAAACTTAATCATAACAATATTAAGAGGTGGGAACTTAAGAGGTGATCAGGCTATGAGGGCTCCAACCTCATGAATTGATTAATGCTGTCATTGCTGGAGTTGGTTCATTATAAAAGGGCAGCTTCAGTCCCCGCCTTCCACTCCCTTTGCTCTTCACCATGTTATGACATGGCAAGTAGGTCCTCATCAGATGCTAACACCTTGGTCTTGGACTTCTCAGGCTCCAGAACTGTGAGAAATAATTTTCTCTTTATTATACATGACCGAGTCTGTATAACAGCACAAGATTATGTTATATTCTGGTACAACAGCACAAAATAGGGTTCTGTTATAACAGCACAAAATAGACTAAGTGGTATTCTGTTAAAACAGCACAAAATAGACTAAGACAGTACCCAAATCAGAGAAGGAAAGGGAGAAATATTCTGGCTCTCCCTTTTCTCCACCCTCATATCTCCTGTCTGGGCCTTCCGTTGGTGGAACCCAGAGAGAACGCAGTTGACCAAGGAGCCTGGGAAATTCAGCCCACAGGGTCAGGCCCCCTGAGATACAGAGCTGGGCCAGGGAAGGGTGAGGTGTGGACATGAAGACAAACAGGCCCAGACCCAGTGGGAAGCAAGTTGGCAGGGAGTCCTTCTCAGATGCCTAGATGAGCCAGCCTCCCTCCCCAGTGGGTACTCAAGACTTGGCTGCCAGGCTGGATCTAGGGGCAGCCTCTGTCTTTTTTTTCTCCCCCAAGATTCTGTGTAGGATGCTCTGTTTCTTAGTCACTTGGATGCCTGACCATGACAACTGTTCCTTTGTGCTCAGACACAGGGCATATTCTTGTGTCCCCTTCTCCTTCCCAAGTTACTTTGAGCTTTTGCTTTCCCCAGGGTGGTGGGATGCTTAGGTATCTGTTATCTGAAAGATTAAAACCCACCAGGTGGAAAATTGCAGGAGGAGTGCCAAGCCAAAGGATTCCCTCCCTCCACAGCAGGAAGACAGTCCTTTGAGTCAGTGCCAGGGACTCCCGGATGCCTCTGCTGGCAAGACCTGCTGTGGCAGATGGAATTTATGGACTTCAGTGCCCTGAATGGGAATAGCTAGACAAAGAAGAAAGAAATCCAGACTTGGGCCCACATGCTCATCTACTAACAGGTAAAGTGGCCTTGGGCAAATCACCTTAGCCTCAGCCTCAGCCTCTGCCTTGCCATCTGTAAAATGGGATCATGGTACTTGTTTTACTTTCTTCCTGGGGTATTGGATAGATTTATGTACAAAGGAAGTACTTGTGGAGTCTTGTTAATAGGATGAAGGCAAAGAACCTAACTGTTGCCCCTACACATTCTCTTACTCAGAAGAGGTAATATTGTGAGGAGGTATGCCAGAAAGCCCAATTTGTCTTTGGCATAGTCATGTGGTGGACAAACTCCAAAGTGGTCCCCCTGATCCCCAGTTTCTGCATTCACATCTTGTGTAATCCTCTTCCATTTGGTATGGGCAGGAACTGTGACTCACTTCTAACCAAGATGGTGGGATATTACTTCCATGATTATACTATGTACAATTCTAAGGGCTGTCTTTCTAGTAGACTCTCTCTATTGCTTTCTCAGTTTGCATGCTTGGATGAAGGGCTGTGTTGGTGAGGTCCACATGTCAGGGAATTAAGAGCAACCTCTGATCAACAACCAGTAAGGAACTGAGGACCTCAATATGACAGCCCTTGAGGAACTGAATTCTGCCAACAACCAGAGCCAGCTTGGAAGCAGTCCTTCCCCAGCTGAGCTTTCAGATGAGAACTCAGCTCCAGCTGACAACTTGATTGCAGCCTTGAGAGAGACCCTGAGGCATGAGGACCTGCTAAAGCATGCCTGGATTCCTGGCCCATAGAAACTGTGTGATAATAAATACATGTTTTTTTAAGCTACTAATCTGTAGTTACTACTAATTTGTAATTTGTAGTAATTTATTATGCAGCAGCAGGTAATCAATACAGCGCACAAAATCTTACATGGTCTGGCCCATTTCCTCTCCGATCTCACTTCCTAGTACTCAACTTTTTACTCACTTTGCTCCAGCCACTCTGGTCTTCTTGCTATTTCTGACACACCAAAAATTCCAAGCCCTGGTTCTTTGCACTTGCTGTTCCCTCTACCAGGAATGTCCTTCCTTCAGAACTTTGCATGTCCCAATCCATGCATTTATAGCTATGTGATGTGTTATTTTGAGGAGTGGGAATAAAAGACATTAATTTGACTGAGAGAGAAAGAATTAGAAATGTCCTTGGGGGCAGAGGCTCTGTCTGGTCACTTGGCTACTTCTATAGCTGTGGTTCCTAACTTAGGGTTTGGCTTAGGATGGTCACTCATTGAATGTTTGCTGAAAACATTCTGGAAAATGAGAAGCAGACAGGAGTTCTGTTGGATGGCAGGATGAGTAAATCAAAGGGTCCCAGAATCTGGGTAGTGGGCATTGGGGGAGAGGAGCCAGTCAGTATCTGTACTACCCAATAGCGCCTCCTGGGGCTCAGGAGTGGAAATGCAGGTGCAAATTCTCAGCCTCTTAGTCCTAAGCAAACTTGAAAGATGATGGTGACTTTGCTTCCAGCACCTCCATCCTTTTTTTCATCCCCCATAGGGTCCTCAAGTTCTGTCAGTTTTAACTTTTCTGGAATCTCTCTTGCTTTCTTCTCCATCCTCAAAGCTACTGCCTTATGCCAGGCCATCATTATGTCTCCTGGACTGCAGCAATAGCCTCCTAACTGATTTGCTTCCTGTTGCCCCTCTACAACCCACTTCCACCGTGAAAGCCAGGGAGATATTCTAGAACACAAATCTAACCATGTTGCTCCTGCTTTAGAACTCTCAATAGTCCCCATTGCCCTCAGGATAGTCACAACTCTTTGCCAGGTCCTGTGAGGTCTGGCCCAGGCTTACATCTTCAACCTTGTCAACCACATCCCACTCTCTAGCAACACTGTGCTATATTAAATTCTCCAAATATGCTTATTTCTCTACTCTCTTTGGGTTTTTTGTATATTCTATTTCCTCTCTCTGGAATACTCCCCCTTTGCACTATTTTCACATTCCCACCAACTTGATTACCTCCTACTCATCCTCAGAGATCATCTTGGGCATGATCTTCCCTCCACAGTGGAGGTTATACATCTTCCTACCTCTCTCTGCCCCATCATAGCATGCCCATCATGGCTCCTATATAGCTGTAATATAATTACCCTCTAAGTATAGGAACTTTGGTTTTGGTTTACCATTGTATCCCAAGTGCCTAGCACAGGGCCAGGTACACACAGCACGTGCCTAATAAATATTAGCTAAATGGATGAATACATCAACACCAGCCCCCTACTACTTATTAAATCAGATCTACACTACACTAATATTTGGTGGTCAAGGCCCCCATGACCCATCTAGCTTCTCCTACCTACCTCCTTTCTTACTGCTTCCCATTGTGCAGTCCACACCCTACTGATATCTGTGTTTTCACTGCCTTGCTGGGCTGTGGCTTGGCTGCATCCCCCTCCAGAAGGCCACAGATTCTGTTGCACAATTCTGTCTGAGTTCTGGTAACCAGTTCCTTCATATTCCCTGCTCCTTCATTCCTTGCCCAGGCCGACTCATGCTTCAAGCACTTTTTCCCATCCTTGGTGCCTGATGGATAGGGAGGATTTGACTAACTGGAAAGATTAAGAGTGATATTCTGGAAAGGGGGCACAGCTTATGCAAGGGCTCAGGGGTGGGGAGAAGTAGGGCTTAAACAGGGACCAGAAAGGAGACAGAGCTGATTAAAGGGGTGGGTGGAGGGTAAGCTACCGAGGACCTGTTCTGTGCCAGGCGCGGTGCCAAGCTTACTGTACACATTCTCATTTAGCCTGCTTATTTATCTTAGAACAGCCTCTGCATTACAGTGGCTAAGATCCCAGGCTCTGTGTCAGAGAGCCCGGGCTCAGATCAAACTCCTCCACATCCTGGTAGTGTGAACTCACAAGAACTTAACCTCGCCACCCTTCATTTTCTCCAGAGAGAAAACAGTGGAAATAATATCTATGTCATAGGCTTCTTATGAGACCTAGGAGTTAATATGTGGGAAATACTTGGAGCAGGGCCTGCCACATCATGGCATATCTATGGCTCCATAGATGTTAGTTATCATTAGGGTTACTATACCTGCACCGACCTTTCAATATTGTAGCCACTAGCCACAGGTGGCTCTTTAAATACAAATTCGTTAAAATTCAATACAATTAAGAATTCAGTTCATCATCACATTAGCCACATTTCAAGTCCTCTATAGACAGTGTTTTGGAGAATGGAGATATGGAATGTCTCCATCATTGCTGCCTGGCAGGGCTGCTGTTGAAGGATGTGTAAGAAACTGGTAGTGGTGGTCACAGCTGGGGAGACCTTGGGAGGTAGAGGGGACAGGGAGACAACGGTGGAAGAAAGATTTTCCTCTTTTGTTCGTTTGGAATTTGTTTTCTTTTTTTGAGACAGAGTCTCGCTGTTTAGCCCAGGCTGGAGTGCAGTGGCACAATCTTGGCTCACTGCAACCTCCGCCTCCCGCGTTCAAGTGATTCTCGTGCCTCAGCCTCCTGAGTAGCTGGGAATGCAGGTGCATGCCACCATGCCCAGCTAATTTTTGTATTTTTAGTAGAGACAGAGTTTCACTGTGTTGCTCAGGCTGGTCTTGAACTCCTGGCCTCAGGTGATCCGCCCGCCTTGGACTCCCAAACTGCCGGGATTACAGGCATGAGCCACTGCACCCAGCCTCATTTGGAATTTTTTTTATCCTGAGCATTTATTACCTAGCAAAACACAAGAACAAAACACACCTTACCACAAACCTTTTTTTATAGAGGAGAAACAGACTCAGGGAAAGTCCAAGGCCACAGTGCTGGAAAGTAGAGGGGTTGAGGCTGGAACCTCCTGTCTGACCCTAGGACCTGAGCTCTCAACTACTGGGCAGCAGAGATGGGGGCTCCAACAGAAGTGGGAGATTAAATGCAGGTGATATTTCAGAGTCCAGTCCTGGAAGTCCCCAGGAGCTGACTTTCCTCATTTAGTCCTGACCAGGGAACCCCACCTGGTGAAGACCCACAGGGAAAGATGAGCAAGATGTGTGGAGCCTGAATTCCGTGGACTGTGGTGAAGGGCTCAGGCTCTGGTACTCTGGTGTCAGAAGGCCCTGGCTCAAGTCCAGGCTCCCCAACTAAACCATTGTATGACCTCGTTCCTTGGTCTTTTTCATCTGCGAAATGGAGATAATAACTGTTTCATGCTCATAGATAGGGCTGTGGCCACGATGAAGTAAGACAATGTAAAGTCCCCGGTTCCTAGTGAGCTCAGAATATGGGTAAGTTAATGTACCATTATTATTATTATTATATTCAACTTTTTAATTTTTATTTTTACTTTTTATTAAAATAGAGATGAGGGCTCACTATATTGCCCAGTCTGGTCTCGAACTCCATGGGTTCAAGTATTCCTCCTGCCTCAGTCTCCCAAAGCACTGGGATTAAAGACATGAGCCACTGCACCTGGCCTCTATTCAATCTTGAAAGCTGGTTTCTGAAGAAAAAATCCAGGAGAGGGAGCCATTTGTTGTCCTCCTGGAAGCATCTTTTCTTCCCATACCCCTGGGAAGGGCAAATGGAGGCCCTCTCCATTTGCCCTTTGCTCCCAGGAGGGAGAAGGGGCACTGAAATTCCTCTCAATTATACAATCATGCCCATTCCCCAGCATGTCCCTTGGCCTTGCAAAGCATGAGCGGAAAAACACTGGGATCCTACATTCTGATAACAACGGATGTGGCAAAAGGCAGGAGTGGCCTCAGGGAATATTTATGGGGCTGTCGCATGGGTGTTCTCCAGATTTCCCTGACTATCCCAAGGTGAACAAGCAATTTTGTATTTACCATTAATCTTGCAAACAAATGCATGGAGTGACCGCAGCTGGGAGTTTTCACATTAATTGATTGTGGCATCAGAACTGAGTTCAGAGCTCATTAGGCAGGGCTCTAAGCAGTGGGCCCACTGGGCTTATTTTGCTGTGTGGTTGCTGTGTGGCATGTGGCAGCCCACTCTGGCTCTGGTCTGTTGGTGGGTGATGCTCGGAGCTTCCCACCAGCACTGGCACTGGAGCTGGTGTCCAGAACCCAAGGGAAGCTAGAAGGGACCATGGGGTTGGAGAACAGCAAGCTGGGGAGGACCCAGTGTGGTTCAAACATTTTAGTGATTCCAGGGTTGTGAGAGAGTATGATGCCTGGATTGGGAGACAATCACGGATTGGGTTTCAAGTCTGAACACCGCCCCCCCGCCCCAAACTCTCTGTGTTTGAATTTTGATCATTGTCCCCCTTTGAGTCTCAGGTTTCTCATCTTTGACATGGAGATTATACCAATACTTTGTGCAGAAGAATGCTTAAGGGTTATATAAAACTATGCCATTTTCTTTAGCTCAGACATGCTGCTCATAGGATTTAATTATTGAGTCTTAGAAGAACTCTTTCCTTCAAATGGCTCCATCTGCTCTAGGATGGCTAAAATACTCCCATTAATGCTATATCTCTGTGTGTGTGTTGAGGGGATGTG